>NC_000014.9:75520803-75672319 GCF_000001405.40 Homo sapiens
AAACAGGAAAAAGATAAATCAGTAAACGAATAAAATAAGTATAAAATTGGGTAACTGCTATGGGAGAAATGAATAGTAGCTGAGGTAGAGGATAAGAATGAAGGTGGAAGGGGAAACCCTCCATGGGCTCACTGTGTCTTTCAGAATGAAAGCTAAAATCCTGATGTTGGCCTCTAAGGCCCTCCCTGACCGGGCCATTACCTCACTGACCTCATCGCCTGCCACTTTTGCTGCCTCTGATATCCAACTACCTGGCCCCCCTGCTCTTTTTCCAATACTCAAGCACACTTCCACCTCAGGTCCTGGAATGTCCTTCCCTGAGACACTCACCATTCACTCCCTCTCTTTCTTCGAATCTCTGCTCAGGTATCCCCTCTTTGGGCAAGGCCCTTCTGACCACCCAGAATTCCCTAACCTCCAACCCTGCTTTATTTTCCTCCATAGGAAAGGAATTTTGTCTTACTTAATTTAACCTTAGGGCAATATTGTCTTAGTCTAGAAATTCAGCTCATGGATACAAAAATCCTCTAGGAGCCGTAACTTCCTGTCAATCCTAAAATTTAATAAGGCAAATGTTTGGCTTCGAGCCATACTGGGAATAAGGTAAGGCCTTTTGAAAAAGCCACGATGCCCAGGTGAGGGTTGAATTGATCACTGAGAACCCTACAAATGCGCTCATGGCAAGGCTGGGAATACCCTACACTTACCCTCTCGGTCATTTACTTCAGAGTCTGCGGGGCATTCTAATCCGCGTTGTCATTTGCTTTGTGCCACATTCCTAAGAGGTAGGCAGGGCAGGTTTTATCATCCTCTGTTTACAGATGAAGATAATGAAGGTCACATAGCTCAAGTGAGCTACCCAGGGCCACAGACATACAAAGTGGTAGAACCAGAATTTAAATCTTGGTTGGTCTGACTCCAAGTGTAGTATTTGTTTCACTTTTTCTTTCTTTCTTTCTTTCTTTTTTTTTTTTAACTGTTTCTGCATTCTGGGTTCTGACCAGGTGACCTTGAATCATAAAGATTCAGGGCCTGTCTTGAGCTGCTCAATATGGAAGGCATCTTTTCTCTAAAGAGTGTGAGCTCCCTGCCAAGCAGCACAGGCGCTTAATAGGCTTTCAGAGCAGCAATTCTAGAACCTCCCTTGTGGCTTTCTGATCTCCCACAGCCCTTGTGTTTGATGGTCAGGAAAGGAGAATACCCTTGGATCGTCTTATCTCCAGACCACCCCGAGGCTGGCTGGACTTAAGGGGTGAGGAAAGACAAGATGGGTGAGCAGCTGCTTTCGGCTGAAAACCAGAAAGAAATCCCAGTGTTTTTGCTTTATTTTGGTTTAAAAATCAAGTCGTATGACAATGGAAACATTTTCCTGGTTGTCCTCTCCTCTCTGCCCATGTTGACAGAAGACGGACTTGCTAATTCTGGCTGGGGTTTTTCCCTGCCTGGGCTGTTTTTCTCTTTTATCTTCATCAATTGAAGAGGGCTGCTGTGTCTTTCAAACTGTCGGAAGGTATCTGTATTTTTTTTTCTTTCACATAATTCTGTAGGTCTTTTCCCAGATATGTATTTTTCTCTCTAACTTCTAACTCGCTGAAGTTTCCGCCCATGTGACTTCCAGCGTGAGTTACCAGAAACCACAAGAGAGAGAGAGAGCGTGCAAGCCCCAAAGCGAGCGACATGTCCCTTTGGGGAGCAGTCCCTCTGCACCCCAGAGTGAGGAGGACGCAGGGGTCAGAGGTGGCTACAGGGCAGGCAGAGGAGGCACCTGTAGGGGGTGGTGGGCTGGTGGCCCAGGAGAAGTCAGGAAGGGAGCCCAGCTGGTGACAAGAGAGCCCAGAGGTGCCTGGGGCTGAGTGTGAGAGCCCGGAAGATTTCAGCCATGCCTCACAGCTCCGACAGCAGTGACTCCAGCTTCAGCCGCTCTCCTCCCCCTGGCAAACAGGTAGAGTCCTCCTTTTTCTCTCTCCTACCTTCTGATTCTCCTGGGGGATGGAAAGAGAGCCAGGCTTCCTTGTCCTGCCCAGGGAGCTGAGGATGGAGGAAGTGGCTCGTTGCACGGGCACTCTGTTAGACTTAGGACATGGAATTTGCTACTAAGCTGTGCATATTGGCAGAGATCCTCATCCTTCCACCCATTCTGCCAAAGCCCCTTTTTCTCTCCATTTTCCAAGGCTGCCTATCACCTCTGCCTCACTGGGGTTGCCACCCTAAAAAGCTTTCTAGGAAGCAAAGAGGAGGATGAACATCAAAGAATGCAGAGAAAAGAGTCTACTGTTCTCCAAGGCTGTAGAAAAGTGAGAGGAGTTTTCAAGTGGGCCGCTGGCATGCACAGCTCAAATCCTAGATATGCAGTTTCCCAGGAGACAGCCAATAGGGAAGGGGAGAAAAGGGGTTAGGGAAAAGTTAAAAAAAAAAAAAAAGAAGAAGAAGAAGAGGAAGAAGGAGGAGGAGGAGGAGAAACCCAGGCTAGCATAGAAGGATCTCTCTACTGGGGCACTGCCTCTGTTGCTAGCACAGCCAGCAAGGGGAGATGCTAGAGGTCCAGCCAATATCTCTTTGCTTGTGGCTTCTGGATAGGAGCAAGGAAATGAATGAGGAGGTGGCTCTGGAAATTTGTTGGAAGACATTTGCTGGTAGTTCATCTTAGCTCTGGGGAAACCAGAGAGACTGAGATAGGGATTGTGGGAGCATTTGGAGTCTAGATTGTGACTTCCAAGTCCAAAGGTTTTAGCTTGAGGATTACCAAAAAAGGAGTGCCCTGCCCATCTCACAGCTTCTAGGGTTTTGTTCTGCACCACACTCTTGACATCCCTTGCTGTAGGAAGCCCTCCTCTTTCTCATCCGACATGTATCCGTGGGTTAAAATTTTCTCAACCTTCATAGTTTAAAAACTTCATTCTTTCCTTAGCACAGATATCCACAAGGGTTTTCAAAATGCTGCAGCCAAAATAAAAGTATATAAATATTGAACAGGGCGTATATCCTAAGCCTCTAATAACGGAGCAGCAGGCTGGGATGAGTCTGGGTGGAGACCTCTAGAAGGCACAGAATCCAGTCTGCTGCTCAAGATGGTGTCAGAGTGGCTCTGACTGCCTGGAAGTTTGTACTTTTCTTAGGAAGGAAATTACTCATGGCTTCCATGGTAACCTGGTGCCCCATCCCCCTTAGAGGAAGAGCACTTCCTTCCTATCTATGCCAATGACCTCCTACCACAAAGGCCTGAAAGTATTGGACATGTTGGTGAGCCCAGTACTTAGTGATCCCAGAGCTTTGCCCTTGGATCTGTGCCCCTCTAGCCTGTGGGAGACGTGGAAGGGAACAGGGCATGAGTTGCCAGGACTCCTACACCTACACTGCAGCATCTGGGAGAGAACTGGA
Organism: Homo sapiens; assembly: GCF_000001405.40. Lineage (NCBI taxonomy): Eukaryota > Metazoa > Chordata > Mammalia > Primates > Hominidae > Homo > Homo sapiens. The sequence goes on from NC_000014.9 coordinate 75,524,182, forward strand.
GCTAACCTCTCTGCCCAGGCACAGGACATGCCTCTCTCTGGGTGTAATTAGAGAACACCCAAAGATCCCCTTATCCTACCAAGCACCCATCTACTGCCCACCACAGCCAGGTCACCTCCACCATTAACGTTCTTTTTGGCATTGATGTGCCAGGCATTGTGCTGGGGCCATGGGGAATGTCACAGTGGCTGAGCACAACGGAAGGAAAGAGGAGGCAGATCTGGGATGCACCCTCAGCTCAGGAATGCAGCAGAAGACCACATGGGGTGCAGAGTAGCTAGCGGGGAAGGGTCTTGGAAAGCCATTGGGCTCAGCACCAGAAGATGTAGCACTCTCAGATGACCAGGAGTCCTTGGGCACACTCTTAGAGCCTCAGTTTCCTCACATATAAAATGGAAATGATGATATCAACTTCACAGCATTGGGGAATTAAACAAGAGCACTTCTGAAAGAACACTTGCCCAGAGGTTGGCATATAGTAGGCACTCAACAAAGTCTGAAAAAAAGAAAACAGCTAAAAGAACAGCAAGAAGAGCCTAAAGGCCAAAAAGTGAGAGGGCGAGGGTGGAGCAGCCCTACAGAGGAGAGGTGATAAAACACACTTCATCGCCTTAACCATTTTTTTTTTTTTTGGCCAAATACAGCTCTATTGAGTCCTCAAGTTCTCTTTTCTTTTTCCTGTAGCTATTGGTCAAAAAAGTCAGAGACCTGGGAATGTGTAAGCAGGCATGGAGAAGAGCTCTCCTTCGGGTGCAGGCTTTTGGTAAATAGAGGGATGGAGGGTTCATGCAGAGACGAAGGCATGGAAGGATGGCTGGACGGATACCACACACCACCAGAGCCTGCTTTCACTCAGAAGGGAGATGCAGACCCATGTAATCCTCCCCGTCTCTGCTTCCCAGGACTCATCTGATGATGTGAGAAGAGTTCAGAGGAGGGAGAAAAATCGTATTGCCGCCCAGAAGAGCCGACAGAGGCAGACACAGAAGGCCGACACCCTGCACCTGGTAAGTGTTCAGATCAATCTTCATCCTCGTGAGCTTTAGGCTTTGCCCTCCGCCATCTGGGAACCCTTGGACCATAGCTTTGATTCTGCTTGTGTGGGGATGTGTATGTGGGGTGGGTTAGTGGAGGGTGAGGGCCGTGGGGTGAGGTAGGGAAGGGAAGCTGTCGTGAGAGTGCTTTAAGAAGGCTCTGTAGTCCGGGCGTGGTGGCTCACACCTGTAATCCCAGCATTTTGGGAGGCCAAGGCGGGTGGGTCACCTGAGGTCAGGAGTTCGAGACCAGCCTGGCCAACATGGTGAAACCTCGTCTCTACTAAAAATACAAAAAATTAGCCAGGCATGGTGGTGCATGCCTGTAGTCCCAGCTACTTGGGAGGCTGAGGCAGGAGAATCACTTGAACAGGCAGAGGTTGCAGTGAGCCGAGATCGCGCCATTGCATTCAAACCTGGGTGATAGGAGTGAAACTTCATCTCAAAAAAAAAAAAAAAAAAATAGAAGGCTCTGTAGCAGGGAATGGGCCAGGAGGCTGAACAGAGAAATGGGCCTTTCTACCCCAGGAGGGCTCAAGGGGTGGGAGAAGGCAGAGCTGTATTGGGAAAGAATTTAGAAGGTATCAAGTGCTTTGGGGACGGCCCATTGTCTCGCAGTGCAAGGACCACACATAGTCGCATCCCTTGGCAGAGACCCAAATGCCCCTGCATTTGACACAAGGAAATTCACAGGGCGCTGTACCAGATTCCTCTTTTCAGAGCATTATTAAAGTCTTATTTTGAAATTTCTGTCTTTAATGGTATCCCAAGGGGTCTATGAAAGATGCAATTTCAAGTGCCCTTATCTGGGATGATCACCATCCTAGTTGAGTTGCCTCTAGTCCCAAATTTTTCTAGAGAAAGCTTTTACCTCTGTCTTGAGTGGTCCAGGGGCCTTGAGCAGTGCTGAACTGCAGTTCCGCCAGTGGCCAAGGCCCTAGATGGTGTTTCTAGGTTCTGGCTGTGCCCCTTATAAAGTACTGCTTCCTCCCCATTGCTCATACCTTACCACCTTACCTCTCTTCACTCTGCCCCCAGTATGGTTCTTGTTCAACCAACTCTTCACTAGTTCCTTTCTCTCCATCCCCTCATCCCCTTCCCTAGCAACTCTACCTTCCTGCCCTTGCTCCAGAAACATTCCCTTACCTCTAATAGCCTAGCAATTCCTTTCCATGGAAAAAGTGCAATTGGCACCAAAAATCAATAAGCTTGTATTTATCTGGAAGATTAGCATGATAATCAGCCAGTTAGAATGGCTGTGTTAACCGTATCAAGAATAAGTAAGTAAGATGTAGTTTTAGGGGAAATAATGCATCTTTCAGCTTTACAAGGAAACAGAGCAGACTGCACCAACAGCTCTGATTGGGTGCTTGGGTTTTATTTGAAATGTATTCAGCTTACACTCCATTGCACACTAACATTAAATTCACAGCTATTTGTTAACTTTTTGGAAAGAATGAATGAACAGAAAGTCTGTACTAACTGTGCTCAACAGTCTGAATGTCAAGTTTTTGGTGGCCCTGCTGCTTGTATGTTCTCCATGATTTCACTGTGTCCCCACATTCTGGTTTACCACCTTAAGCTTGAACATCTATGATCCTTACCTCTTTCTCTATCAGAGTCTGATTCTGATTCACTATTCTTTAGGGCAAGCAAACAGACCAATCAAAATTTAAAAGGATAAAATCTTCCTTGTGTACAAGTAGACAATGTCCTCAGACTGGCAAACTGCTGTAAGCTTTTTAAGTGTGTACCTGTTTTCTTAAGTGGAATGTAAGTATAGTTCGGCAGCTCAGCAGTCAGAACAGGGATTGAATCCCAGCCCTGCTGCCTACTATCTGTGTGACAGAGACGTTCTTGGCCTCCCTTGGGCTTGGTTTCCTTATCTAGAAAATGGAAAATGACAATAACTACCCTATACAGATCGTACATTTAAAGAGCCCAACACAATGCCTGTCATTCATAAATACTCAAAAATTTAAGTATAATAAGAGTAATAATAATTATCATAAGAAGCAAGATAATCACAAATTATACACACATTTTATATATATATGAAAACATATATACATTTTGTGTATATTTAATCACAGAAGCTCAGGGTTGAAAGGTTTCTTAAAGGCTAGAAAGTTTAGACATAAGTTTGATGCTTCAGACTTCTCTGCAACACCTCCAGCCAATGGTCCCATTGTATGCCTGGTCACTTCTAGGGCTGGAGATCTTCCTCTCTCCCAATTTATGAACAGAAGAGTCTTTCCTATGTTAAGCTGCACCCCTGTCTCCCTGTAAATTCAACTCACTGGTCTTCATCCAAACCCTTGGGGAACGTATTAATGAGGGTGACACAGATGTCTCTTTGCTGCGGCAAGGCTTTCAGCACTGAATCAGCTCTCTCCCTCTCCAAGACAAATGTCAGAGCCCAAAGAGTCAGCTCATCTAATTATACAAGTCATGTGACATTAGGGTAATCTCTAGAGCTTGAGGGTCCACAGAGCCCCAAGTCATATAGTCAACATATCCATAGCCACACCCCAGCCTCAGTTTCTAGAATGTTCCAATCTTCCCCACATCTGAACACAGATTCCTCCTCCACTGCTTTCTTTTGAGCACCACAGCATCGTCTTTACCTTTTGCCCAATGAGTAGGTCGCAGCGGAGTTGATGCAGCAAGCCTGCGGACTGCTGCCAATGCAACTTATGTTTCTTGGCTTCAGGTAGAAGCTTTTGGCAGCAACGTGTTCAATCTGCCCTACATCAAATTAGCTGTGGTTTGACATCTTCCTTTCCTCCGAGATGACAATCACCTATCTTCTCCATCCATTATCCTCTTAATTATGTCTGAGATTCAGGTGAAAAGTCTTCTGGTTTACCACCAGTGTCAGGGCTCAGTGTGTGGTTTGCCCTTGACTCCTTTCCATGCTTGGCTCCACATGCTGGGGTTGTTCTCTGGCCCTCAGACATGGCCATAGGCCTCGCCTACCAGTGCTTTACAGATGAGGGTTTGGGAGCTACTGAGAGTACCATATCAAAAAAGGACCACATTCCTATTAGGGTTCTAGCCTCATATATACTGGTATGTTTTCTTAGTTTCAACTGCTGTCACTATTATCAACCTTAAAATACTGAAACAATTATCTTGTTCCTCTAGTGAGAGTGTGGGATGCTTACTATTCGACATTTTCAGCATCTATCCTATAAATGGCTGGCACCAAGACACTGTACATCGATTGCTTTAAAAATTGACAGAGTAGGGAGAGAGCCTCTTTTTATGATTGTGTTATAAATCCCTGGCCTTGACTATCTCTGACATAAAATGGATCGGTGATTCCTTTCGTAATTGTGACATCAACAAACAATCTAATTCTGTTTTAATTCTCCTTTTGTTGAGCATCTCACACAAGCACCCTGCACACTTAGTTCCTTTTCTCCTGCAGACAACTGTAGGGTTCATTGTATATAGTACAGATGTTGATTAAAAAAGAGAAAGGCATAACTTGACCAGTTAGTTTCTAAAAGATATCAATAGCTAATAAGTGGACCTAAGATAATCAGCTGAAAAATTATTTGAAATAATAAGAGAATGCAGTCAGCTTCTAAAATTAAAACAAAATGTAATAACGTTCCTATATGCAAAACATAACCAATTAGGAAATTAATGGAAGGAAAGATCCTGTTTATAATACCAATGACAACAGCAAATGGAAGGAAGGAATAATTTAACAAAAATTATGAAGAGTGTATCCTAAATGATTTTTAAAAGATTCAAATAATTGGAAAGATATACCTTATGTAAAGTTAGCAATTTTCCTTAAGTTAATTGATAAATTTAATGAGATCCCAATAAAAAACCCAATAGGGTTTTCTGGGATTTGGGCAAGAACTAGATTAGCTATTCTAAGTTTCCAGTGAAAAAAAATCATATGACAATTGCCAGGAAAATTCTAAAGAAGAAGTATAATGAAAAAAGATTAACTGACCAACATATTAAAGTGAAACACAAATACAGAAATCAAAACAATGTGGAAAAGACAGAACATTGAACAGGATAGAATATGGAAACAGACCCAAAAACAAATTCAGATTTTAAGACCCAAATACATATTTCAACTCCTAGGACACAAGTATAAATACAAAATGGGCTGGGCACGGTGGCTCACGCTTGTAATCCTAGCACTTTGGGAGGCCAAGGTGGGCAGATCACTTGAAGTCAGGAGTTCGAGACCAGCCTGGCCAACATGGTAAATGTTAAATTTTTTAAAAAAAGGAAGCTAAAGAAACTTGAAAAGACAAATAACCATTAAAAATTTATCTTGGAATGAGGAATTATTTTCTAAATAAAACATAAAACCCTGAAGCCATAAAGGAAAAGATTGATATACATTACTTTTATTCATAAAAAGTAAAAGTTTCTTTATAGATCAAAATACTGTATGCAAAATCAAAGGCAAATGACAAGCTGAGGAAAAATATCTGTAATACATATGACCAAAAAAGGTATGTTTACTTACTATATGAGAGAGCTCTTATGAATAGGAGATGATTAACAACCCAAAAGAAAAATGAACAATGGGCCGGGCGCGGCGGCTCACGCCTTAATCCCAGCAATTTGGGAGGCCGAGGCGGGCGGATCACGAGGTCAGCAGATCGAGACCATCCTGGCTAACACAGTGAAACCCCGTCTCTACTAAAAATACAAAAAATTAGCCAGGCGTGGTGGCGGGTGCCTGTAGTCCCAGCTACTTGAGAGGCTGAGGCAGGAGAATGGCGTGAACCCGGGAGGCGGAGCTTGCAGTGAACCAAGATAGCGCCACTGCACTCCAGCCTGGGAGACAGAGCGAGACTCCGTCAAAAAAAAAAAAAAAAAAGTAAAGAAAAATGAACAATGACTATGAATAGGCAATTTACAGAAAAGAGAAATAAGTGGCAAATAAATGTGTGAAAAGATGGTAGACCTTATTTAGTTAGGAAAATGCCAATTAAAGCAGCAGTGAGGCTGGCAAAGATGAAACATGTTGTTGATACACGATGTTGCCAAGGTAATGGAGAAGCAGGCACCATCACACACAGCTAGTAGTAGAGTCTGCATAACCCTGGTAGAAGGCAATTTGCCCACGTCCATTCAAATTATAGGTGCACATACCCTGCGACTCAGCAATTTGACATCCAGGAGTGTGTTCACAAACAAATCCACACATCATACAATTCTGTACATGTAAAGATAATCATTGCTGCATTGTTTCTTATAGGAAAGACTGAACATAAGCTAAAAAAATCCACCAATAAGGGATTCAATAAATTATTGTCCATTCTGTGGAATATTGCAGATATGTTAAAATAATGAGTTACATCTGAATGTGCTAATCTGGAAGGATTATCACTTCTGTACTTTAAGTTAAAAAGGCATAAATATAGTCCATAGTTTGCTACCATTAGTTTTTTAATTTAATGTTTTATTTATTTATTTATTTTTTATTTTTAGAGACAGGGTCTCACTATGTTGCCCAGGCTGGTCTCGAACTCCTGAGCTCAAGTGATCTGCCCTGCCCACCTTGGCCTCCCAAAGTGCTGGGATTACAGGTGTGAGCAACAGCACCCAGCCCCTTCTGTGTTTTTAATAAAAAGAAAAAGTTACATATATGCATAAGTATAAATGCAAACTTTTTCAAATAGATTATAAAAAATTGTTAATGATATTTATTTCTGAAAAGTAGGACTAAAGATCTAAAGCAAGAGGGAGATACTTGGCATTCTTTACCTTTTATACAGTTTGGGATTTTTTATCACATGCTTTTATCTTTATAATATAGATATCAAAATTCTCAGCATTGATCATTACCACACATGCATTAGGAGGATTTCTTTTCTAATTTTGACATCAAACATTGAATAATCTTCCATCACGACATGGAAGAGTATTCAATCTTGACGTTATCTTTTGAACATCATACATAAATATCTCAGCCCTTGGGAGAACCAACTGTAAGTTGGGATTTGAGTGACTCTAAGGTCCACAGTACTATATGATAAAAGATGGCAAATCCGTTTCCTTTGTGTAGCCATCTTGGTTGGTTGGTCATGGCTATCTGGTGCCGTACAGCTGGAAGGATTTCAAGTCAAAGACCAGGATCAGTGGAAAAGAGAGCTGAGGTCAATTAAGAAGCTTTATTCATGAAAAGGCTAAAATCAGTGGAGTTGCCGGGAGCAGTGGCAAATAGCAGTGTTAGCCCTGAGCCGAGCTGTTGACAAGTCATATCTGGCCTGGTGGATGGAGCTGAAAGCAAGTGAGAGTAACAGCCAAGTTTGAAAGCTTGAGATTTAGGTACTGTCTTAGATGGAAGTGGGCCAGGTGCTTGCCTGGGGCTGCCTCCTGAAGGAGTCTCACACCAGTATAAGAAAAAAGAGAGGTTTACAGGCTCCAGGGATGTGCTTTGTCATATATGACAGAAAAGTCATGAGTATAAATTATGCATTAAATGAAGCTTTGAGCTAACACTGTGAGAAATACGGTATTTACAATTGGAGAAAAATTGAGTAATGGAGGAAAAGATGTTTGGGTAGCACTATTGTTCTTGGCCTTCTGAGGAGGCAGAGAAGGATGCTTACGGTCCTATTTCACTCCTGGAATTCTTTTGCTCTCTCTGGGAGACCATGCCATAATGTTTGTTGGCACAGATAAGTCACAGGTCAGGAATGTTCAGGCTAGTTCCACCCTTAAAAAGTTCAATGTAGAATCAGTGAACCATCTATGGAAAGAGATGCGACCCTTCTGTCTCCATTGCTATGAATTTCTTTTAAGAAAAAACCATGTTAATTGAACAAACGACTATGTATTAACCACTGTGCCTCAAGTGCTCTCCCTGCAGCATCTCATTTAATCTGCATAAAAGCTGTATTTTATAATTCCTTGCATTAAGTAACTTGATGGAGATGACACAGCTTGTGACTAGGTCTGTCTGACGTCAGAACCCATTTTCCTAACCATTAAGTTTTACTGCCTCTTTCTTCAAACTCTGATGAAGATGTATTCATCTTCCCTAACCTATATTTTCCTTGAATCTCTACATGAATTAATTTTTTTGTCTTTTAAGCAATATCCTCCAAAATCTACACTGTCCCCCAGCCATCATCAGGCGTGATCAAGAAAGTAAAGACATGTTTACTTTCAATACAGTATATCCATTGTACAATTGATATCATATATGTCATATATATCATGATATCAACATATATAGATAGGTACTATATATAGATAGATACAATTGGTATATCAAATGATACAATATGTCAATTGAAATCTTTTTTGAGAAGTCTGTGTAGCAATAAATGTTAACATCTTTCACAGGAATTACCTTTGACACAACAGAGTTTGAAGAAAAAATAATTTACAAAGATGCTTAGTTCATCATTATCTGTGAATAGTAAATACTTTAACAATGCTATAAAACTTGACAGGGGGCTTACAACAGAAGATGAAGCATATTATGATACATTCATACAATAAAAAAATTTATGCTGGTACTAAAAATGATTATGTAGATCTGTATTTATCAGCATAGAAAGATGTCAGTGATACAGCATTAAGTGAAAAAGGCAAATTACAAAGAGCATGCAGAGTATAACCCTTTCACGTAAAATTTGTGGGTTTTGGGCATGGTCGCATGCATAAAGAGATATCCGGAAGGATATTCTCCAAAATGCTAATAGCAGTTATGAGTGGTTGAGTTTGGGTAGTTCATCTTATTCTTGGTACTTTTCTCTCTTTTTTATTATAATGAATGTGTGCCATTTTAAAAATCAGAATTTTAAAAATTAGGCTATTTTCATTTGGGGAGGGAAAACACATCAAGGAAATCCACCACCCCTAACTGCTTGTCTTACCGATGACGGGTCGGCATGGCTAAGTTTGGGAGGCATATTGGAAATTGGGAGTCCAGCTCCATGCTGGTGTTGATGCTGTAAAGAACGACTGTTTGGGAGGCCAAGGTGGGCAGATCATGAGGTCAGGAGACTGAGACCATCCTGGCCAACACAGTGAAACCCTGTCTCTACTAAAAATGCAAAAAATTAGCCAGGCGTGGTGGCGGGCGCCTGTAGTCCCAGCTACTCGGGAGGATGAGGCAGGAGAACGGCATGAACCTGGGAGGCGGAGCTTGCAGTGAGCTGAGATCACACCACTGCACTCCAGCCAAGGCAACAGAGTGAGACTCCGTCTCAAAAAAAAAAAAAAAAAAAGAATGACTGTCTGTCTACATAGGATGATGGTCCTAGGTCACAAACTGACAGCTGCCTGTTCAGCAGATGTCTTGATGGAGCTATTCTCAGCAGCACCCAGACTTCCTTCTCTTGAGCAGAATGGGAGTCTCCCCAGAGTGCCCTTGTGCAAGCTTCTCAGAGGTTTTCTTACTCCCCTCTTTTGAACTTAGTCTAGTCCCCTGCTTCCTAGGAGGGGTGGGTTGGGTCCACAGTATAAAGGCCCCTTCAGATTGTGGGATATCTGTAGAGGGTTCCACTACGGGTTCACATGATGGCTTGTGGAGGGAATAACAATCATAATAGTCATACTACCTTGTTGATAAAATTTCAGAATTAAGTGGGAACTCAGAGATCTTCTAGGGTGACTTGCCACATTTCCAATGAGGAAACTGAGGACGCCCAAGAACCCAAACCTCTTGCCTTCCCACCAGTCTGCTTTTGTTTCATGCCACTTTGCTGAACAGAGCTTTACTAGGCAGGTGTTTACATAAGGCCTATTGCAAAGGTGGGCCAAGAAGCAGGCCATTAACCAGAACACTTGAACTGCCTAGACACTCATCAGCTCCAGAACATACGGCTATACATGAGACCAGAAAGAGAGTGAGTCCAAACTTGACAGGGGCTGAAGTGTAAATGTTTCTTTGTTTAAAGAGATTTTAAAGTTGTAATCCAAAATTAGAAAGGGCAGTGACATATTGGGGAAAATATTTGCATCAAATTAAAGAAATGAAGGTTTAATATTTATGCTACAGAAAGAAACTCTTATAAAGCAAAACATCAGGACTCCAATAGACAAGTGGGCAGAGGCAATGAACAGAAAGCTTACATAATATTTTTCCTACCAAAATGAAAATACCCTAATTTCCTATTCTGATTATGAAAACGATACACACTAAGGCAGGGTTTCTCAACCCCAGTGGAACTGATACTTCGAGTCCGATAATTCTTTGTTGTTGGGGATTGTCCTGTGCCTTGTAAAATGTAAAATTTACCCACAAGATGCCAGTAGAACACCCCCTCACCCTGCTTAGTTTGATAACCAAAAATATTTCCAGAACTTGCTAAATGTCCCTGGAAAGGCAAAATCAGTCCTAGTTGAGAACGCTACACTAAGGAGAAAGACACATGGAAAGTTGTTCTTTCTCCTTAATACTTGACAACCTGTAACATTAACATGAAATTAAGAAGCCTTCATCAAGCTAATTGGCAACAAGTAAATTATTTAAAATTATAACACCTAAATGCCAGTGAGGTTGTAGTGAAATGGATAGAAGCATTCGCTAGTGGTGACATTATATACTTGATATGACCCCTTTTCAGTAATACTTCTCAGGACTGGGAAGATTGAATGCCTCCTTTGCCTCATTCATTTCATTCCTAGGAATTTCTCCAAGGAAATCACTGAACAGAGACAAAACCCAGTGTGCATCACGATGTTCATCTCAGCATTATTTTTAATAGTGACAATTTGATAGCAACCAAGATGTCCAGCATTAGAAGACCACTTTAAGTAAATTGTGGATAATCAATTTGATGATGCAGTCATTAAAAATTATGTTGACTATGTAGATGTGACAAAGTTATGACAGAAAGCAAAATACAAATTGTATGTGTACTATGATTGAAATTTTGTAAAAATAAGTATGCATGTTTGTTCAAAAGGATGAGATGGCCAAGTGGGATGGTTCATGCCTGTAATCCCAATACATACGGAGGCCAAGGCAGGAGGATGACTTGAGACCAAGCTGGGCAACAGAGTGAGATCCTGTCTCTACAAAATATAAAAATAAAAATAAAAATAATTAGCCAGGCGTGGTAGCTTGCACCCAGCTACTTTAGAGGCTGAGGTGGGAAGATCACTTGAGCCCAGGAGGTTGAGGCTGCAGTGAGCCCTGATTACATCACTGCACTCTGGACTGGGTAATAGAGTGAGACCCTGTGTCAACAAAAAGGATGAGATCTCAATATGTGTAAATGAAAACAGCTGTATTAAGGGACTAGGATCATGGGCGTTTTTAACTTTTAAAAAATATCTTTAATGTAGTTATACTGTATTTTTTTATTTTTAAAGAAACAGAAGAAAATGGCCAAATAGAGAGCTGAAGGAACTCTGGAGGACATCAAGTACAAAGAGACAATATTACTGAGCTCGAATTTGGGGATCAGGTTTTGGTAGGAGACCTTATAATTTATACCCCAAATAGGAATACTTCGAGAGTGGAAGATGGAACTTGTAAATATTACACCAGGAAAACAGGTGTCCCAGTAAATGTCTGGTCACCCTAGACAGGGAAACCAAGAAAGATGACATGAAGCTCTTATGAAAACTCAGAAGTGATAAAGTTCAGAGTCAAGTAGAGGGGACTGGATTCCTATGACCAAAATGTGATTTCCTGCAACTGAGGACCCTGTAACTAAAAAAGGGTACTCAGCTGGCATAAGAATATGTCTTATCATTAAGAGAGTAGGATGACACAGAAAATTATAAAGCAAAGGCCATATTATCAGTACTAGAGCTGAGATCAGCGGAAGTGATTCATCTACTCAACAAATATTTATCAGCCAGGAACAGTTCGTTCTAGGCACTGAGAATATTGCAGGGACAGGACAGACAGAGTCTCTGATTTCACGAACCTTACAGTCAGTTGGAAGTCAGGCTGGAAAACAAATAAACACACTAATCACATGACATGTAAAGTGCTTCAAAGAAGATGAAATCATGCAATGTGGAAAGTGTCTAAGGGACGGGATTGGGGCAGCGATCAGGGGAGGCCTTCCTGAGGCCCTGGAATTTGAGATCAAAGGTGAATCAAAGAGGAGACTGGAAAGATCTGGGGAGAGGGTGATCTCAGCCTAGAGAGCCTTGAGGCCAAGCTGCGAGGCCAGGCAAAGGTCAGAAAGGTGCTTGGTAAGGTGGAGACCAAGTTCAAGACCATAAGGGAGTGAGGAGGAACTCAGTAATAATGGCAATTGTAGGGCTGAGCACAGTGGCTCACACCTGTAATCCCAGCACTTTGGGAGGCCGAGTTGGTTGGATCATTTGAGGCCAGGAGTTCGAGACCAGCCTGAGCAACACAGTGAAACCCCATCTCTACAAAAAAAAATTTTTTTTAAATATCCAGGCATGCACCTATGGTCCCACCTACTTGGGAGGCTGAGGCGGGAGATTTGCTTAAGTCCAAGAGGTCGAGGTTGCAGTGAGTTGTGATAGCACCACTGCACTCCAGCCTGGGCAACAGGGCAAGATCCTGTCTTTAAAATAAAATAAAATAAAATAAAATAAAATAAAATAAAGGCAATTGTGCTGCTAGGAGCAGGAACTGGATGGGGCATGTGGTGGGGACCCAACTAATTCAAACCCTGCCTGGGGGATTTCTCTGAACCTAAACTCTGATCATAAGTTGAGAAGCAATAGCACCTCACTAGGCTGTTTGACCGTTTAATTGAGAGGGCAAATGTAAGAACAAAGCAATATTGTCATTTTTTTTTTACACTGTTCCTTTGTTTAATGCAGACAGCCTGCCCTTTTCCTAGAAATCAATCAGATATATTATCCTACATGAACACACACGTTCTTCTTTCTGGTTGCTTATAAACTCTTTAAGGATATCAGTAGTTTCAGGGGCTTGGCCTTTCACAACTAGGCAAGTCTCCTTTGTTGGGTATGAATGGAGAGAGGGTCAAATTTGAACTAGGGAAATGGCACGACGAAGTTCTTAAAGTGGTTGTAATTCTGCCACTCCCACGCTGTTGGTTCAGTTTGGGGAATAAACAGAGGTTTGACCTAGGCCTTTTGAAAAAATGAATCTCTTGGATTCATTTGGAAGTATCCCAGATTTACAAAGTAGAAGCTATTAAAGTGTTTGAGTGGTGGTTAATCACTCTCTAGGAATTCTCATGGACATCACAGATTTACTCAGCTGACCCTTCTTCATAGGCACATCTCAGATTTTGGAAAATTATTCCAGATTATAAGTTGGCAGTCAAGCAACGTGATTTGATCGAACACTTACTCTATGGCAGGCACTGTCCTTGTCACTGAGAACAAAACAGTGAAGACAATAATAGCTCCTGCCCTCACAGAGCTCAACAATGTAAATGGTAAGGAAACGAAACGGTTAAAGTTATAATTAATGAAACACGAATAGATCCCTGAGCTCTTGCCTTTCCATTATATGAATGAACTGTGCTGGACTATTTAGAATTGTTTCCACCAATTTAAGAATATAATAGTAGTGTGCTTAAATGGACATTTTGTTTTAGAAATTTTTTTAACTAGAAATAGTCTCCCAACTCTTTAAATTTTTTAATATTATACTATAAATGATAAAATAAAATACATATTTAATAAAATGAAAATATGTAAAAATATAAACTCTTTAAGGATATCAGTAGTTTCAGGGGCTTGGCCTTTCACAACTGGGCAAGTCTCACAAATTTAATTTGTTTGTTAACAAACAAATTTAATAAAATCAAACACTATATAGTTATGTTATATTTTTATTATTTTGAGATAAGGTTTCACTCTTTTCCCAGGCTGGAGTGCAGTGGTGCGATCATGGCTGACTGCAGCCTCCACCTCCCAGGCACAAATGATCCTCCCACCTTGGCCTCCCAAATAGCTGGGACTACAGGTGTGTGCCACTATGCCTGGTTAACTTTTAAATTTTTTGTAAAGATTGGGTATCACTATGTTGCCCAGGCTGGTCTCAAACTTCCGGGCTCAAATGACCCTCCTGCCAAAGAAGCCTCCCAAAGTGCTAGGATTACAGCAACTGCACCTGGCCTTATGTTATTATTAAAAGGAATCCACTATGAACATGATTTTTTGCCCATTTGGCTCACTTAGGAAGCATTTTTAAAGTCTTGATGCCTGCAACCACTCCAGAACAATTAAATTGGAACCTCTGGGGGTCTGGCATCCAGGAATCCAGACTGTTTAAGGCTCTCCGGGTGCTGGCAGTGTGCACAGCCAGGGTTGAGAATCAGAAGCAGTACATTTGCAGCCTATCAGGTCTGTACCTGAATATGTGGAGTGAGTAGAATGTGTGGAGTGAGCAGAATGTGTGGAGTGAGTGTGGGGCAATTGTGTGGGTAAGTACACAGATACTCTGTCACATACAGTGGCCTGATGGCTTAAAACAAAACAAACGGCCAGGTGCGGTGGCTCACGCCTGTAATCCCAACACTTTGGGAGCCCGAGGCGGGTGGATCACGAGGTCAGGAGATCGAGACCATCCTGGCTAACACGGTGAAACCATGTCTCTACTAAAAATACAAAAAATTAGCCGGGCATGGTGGCGGGTGCCCGTAGTCCCAGCTACTAGGGAGGCTGAGGCAGGAGAATGGCATGAACCCGGGAGGCGGAGCTTGCAATGAGCCGAGATCGTGCCACTGCACTCCAGCCTGGGCGACAGAGCGAGACACGGTCTCAAAAAACAAACAAACAAACAAACAAACTATTCAAACCCTTGCTTTGATGGCAGTTATTATTTGTTTTGTTGTTTGGTTTTGAACATTGATAATCTTGCTAGTGGTAACCTTTGTAACTCGAAGCATCAGTATCAGCCAAGATTGCATGCATTCAGAGACAAGTGAGAGACCAGCCATCAAATGAGGAATCAACAAATCATGGCCTACTTTTCTCATGTAACAAGAAGTTCAAAAGTGGAGAGACCAGGCTACAGCAAGGAAGAACCAAGCTCCTTCTCTCTAAGCAGCCATCCTCAGTATGAGGCTTTCATTCTCTAGGCTGTGAGATGGGTGCCGAGCCTCTCGGCATCAGTCTATGTTGAAGGAAGGAAGCCTTTGTCCTTATGAGCAGGCTGTGCCTTTTTGGTAGGAAGGGAAGCTCTGCCTTCACCTCCCTCCCGCCCATCAGGTACTTCTGCTTACGTATCTTTGGTCAGAATTCTGTCACATGGCTACCCCTAGCTACAAGGTAAGGTAAGCTGGAATTTTTTTTTTTTTTTTTTTTTTTTTTTAGCAATTCTTTTCCCAGTCTTTCTAGAGGAAGGCAAGGCAGAAGGGGTTTGGGATGGACGCTGAATGAACCAAACTATAGTTTTTTTCACATTTGAGGGCAATGAAATCATAGTCTTGAAAACCAAGGACCAGGCGATAGCCTTTTCACCCTGTGACTAGACAGGTCCCTGAGGGCACGGCTGATGTGGCCAATCTTCTGTAAATGCAAAGGTGCTTATGGCCCTAGAGCTTCAGCTCTAAGACATGAAAGTGAAGGTTCCTCCAGAATCACACACGTGCATTATTCAGCGCAAAGATCTGTGGTTTGGTGATTCTTCTTCTCCTTTCATAAGGTGAGAGGCAGCAGTTGGGGTGAATTTCCCCAGGAATGGTGGGAGATGTGGGCCTAGATCCTCCCGCTGCTTGGGAAGAGTCGTACTTTTCAGTTGGAAGCCTGCTCCAGGAATGGCGGGCTCCACCCTCTGCATGTGACGTACAGGGGCTGGTAACTGATGGAGCCTGAACATATATCTGGGTGTGAGGGATAAGCTTCGAACGCCACTTAAGTGTAGGTGGGAGCCAAAAGGTCACCCTGCCAATACATGATTACATGTCCTGTTGAGGAGAAAATACACAGGGACTATTTTCACCCTTCTGGAAATTGTGATTAGAAAATGCAAGGAGAAGGCCAAGACACTAAACTGGAGCTGGTAGGGAGGAAGCCTCAGCCCTGCTCAGGGTGCCTGGACAGTCCCCACCAGGGCCCAGCTAGGAAATGCCAGCCTTGTCCTTGGTCTTCGTCCCTAATGGCTCCCGGCGGGTGAGGGAACTGCCTGGGGATTCCCCATCGTTGAAGCGCTCTGTGAGTGACCCCCTCCTAAGCCCCTCCAGTAGGGGATTTCCCAGAATGTTCCCACGCCCCCAGGAAGCCTCTTCCTTAGCCACCCCCAAGCTGCTTGCGGTTCATGGTAGAGGTAGGTGGCATCAAATGACCCCACAGGTGAGGGATTTGCCTGAGGTGGGAAAAGAGGGAAGATAAAATTGGAAAGCCACCGGGGCTGAGGAATTATCTCATAGGAGAGAACTGTCAAACAGTATAACGTTTAAACAGACTTTAAAGGCAAGAAAGGATGGAGGGCACAGACTCTGAAGCCAGAGTGCCTCAATTCAAGTACCGGTGCTGCAACTTCCAAGCTGCGTGATCTTGAGCCAGTGACTTAACTTCTCTGTTCCTCTGTTTTTCCTCTTCTGTAAAACGGAGATAATATTTTCTACCACACAAGTTTGTTGAAAATATCAAATGTAATGATAACCATAAAATACTTAAAAGAGTGATTGGCACACGGAAGTATTCAATAAATGTTAGTTATTGGCCAGGCATGGATGATTCACGCCTGAAATCCCAGAACTTTGGGAGGCTGAGGCAGGCGGATCACTTGCGGTCAGAAGTTCAAAACCAGCCTGGCCAACATGGTGAAACCCCGTCTCTACTAGAAATACAAAAAGTTAGCCAAGTGTATTGGCGGGCACCTGTAACCCCAGCTACCCAGAAGGCTGAGGTGGGGAGAATTGCTTGAACCAGGGAGGCAGAGGTTGCGGTGAGCTGAGATTGCACCACTGCACTCCCAGTCTGGGCAACAGAGAGAGACTCTGTCTCAAAAATTAAATAAACAAATAAATGATAGTTAAGTTAACCTAGGCTATTTTTTTAAAAAAATTTTGGTTTCTATCCACCTTTTTCGTATAAATTGAGCCAGGTTACACCTTAGACCTATTAGATCAGAATCAGGCATCAGGATTGCTAAAGCTCCCCAGGGGACCCCAGTGTGTGGATGAGGTTGAGAATCATTGTTTTGGTCCAGTCTTTCCATTTTAAAGTGAGGCAACTGGAGCTGAATAGGGAAATCGAGTCACTGAGGATCACCCAGCCAGGACCAGGGCCCAAGTTCCTATTCCCATTTACCGCTGATGGAGCTCACCGTGGTCATGAGTTCAGGACCTGGCTCTGTGTCTGGAGGAAGGTCTGGCCTCGAGTCAGCCCTTGTCCAGAATATCTGGCCAGGTGACCCCCTCTCCATGCAGCCCAGGAGGCAGATGGTCAGCTCTATGATTGGAAGAATGTGAGTGACTCAGGGATCTTGTGTTGTGTTGTGTTGTGTGTGGGTCACCAAAACCGAGACCCAGCTTTCTCCTGGGAGACAACAGGGTAGCCAAGGACTTATTTTTTTGTTTTGTTTTGTTTTGTTTTTTGAGACAGAGTCTTGCTGGGTTGCCCAGGCTGAACTACAATGGTAAAATCTTGGCTCACTGCAACTTCTGCCTCCCAGGTTCAAGTGATTCTCCTGCCTCAGCCTCCGGAGTTGCTGGGACTACAGGCATGCGCCACCACGCCCGGCTAATTTTTGTATTTTTTGTAGAGACAGGGCTTCACCATGCTGGCCAGGCTGGTCTTGAATTCCTGACCTCAAGTGATCTGCCCACCTCAGCCTCCCAAAGTGCTGGGATTACAGGCGTGAGCCACAGCACCTGGCCAACTTTCTAGTGTTCTCGGGAGACCTTTGCCCACTCAAGTCTCCAGTCTCTCGGGGGAAGCAGTCAGTGTGAGAGAAGGAACACAGGGCCCCGAGCCAAGCCCTGCTCTGCGCCTCCCTCGCGGGCAATGAGTCTTTGCATCAAACACTCAAAGTTTCTGAACTTCTGAGAAAACAAGTGCCTTGAGGTGAATCCTATAGCACAGCTGTCACCAGCCTGTGGTCATTTTGGAGGGTATGTGGCATAGGTTTGTCCCAGGGTCTCAGTTGTCCTCATCTGTAGAGTGGGGATAATAACAGCTGACCTTCCCTATCCCACACAGAGCGTTATTGTGAGGAGTCTGATGGACCTGGATGAATTCTGAATAGGAGAAAGATGGGTACATGGATGCCCAAATGCAGGCTCACCCCCACCCCTCTCAGTAGCAGAAGACATGCATATGGGAGAAGCTGCATTTCCTCCCAGCCTCACTGTGCTCTAGGTGTCCAGCCCTCATTGTTAGGGGATGTCACTGTTGTACCTCTGGATAAACAGCTGCTCTCATGCCACCTTTGCCAGTTGTCCCTTCAGCTGGGCGAGCCCTTTCCAGGGCATGACTGCCCCAAGGAGGGCCAGAGGGGACTGGGCAATAGCAGGGACATGGAGGGACGAGGCCCCAGATCAGCCACTTCCTCCTGCAAGGGAAGTCAAACCCTTTCTCTCATAAGTGTCAGGCTGGCTGCACGGTCCCTGGGCTGGCAGGGCAGGTTTCTTGGGGGCCCTAGCAGGAAGCACTCTTGCTTCCCAAGGTAAAGACAAGTTTCTTATCACTGGCGGTGGTTTTCTGGTTAGAGGCAGCAGGCAGCGGTTACAAACTTTGCCTAGAGCTCTGGGATCTGCAAGCCAGGGAGGGGGAGGCAGACGACAGAGCTAGAGTGAGCTCAGCAGAGCTTGCTTAGGGAGGAAGGACCCGCTGTCACTTCCCGAAAGCTGGGCCAGCCTCTAGGCGGGGAGAAGGTCAGAGTGGCCCTCCCTTCTGCCTCGGGGTTTGCCCAGGCTCTTCAGAGCACAGAATTTACAGTAAATGTTGTCACCAGTGGAAACTCTCAGAGGGGGCGAAGAAAAGGGCTAGAGGAAGGAGCCAGGACTCCCGGCCCCCAGTTCCCGTCTTACCAACACCCCCTAGTCTCATCGTGTTGCTTGATCTTACCTTTCGGTAAAGAGGGGATGCCCTCCTTCTGGGATGTGCCAGGAAATACCCAAATGGTAAAATGAATGAGCCGGCCACACCTTGCAGAAGGCAGGGCTGTGACTCCATCATCGTGGCTCTTGATAACTCCTCTGCCCCGTTTTAGAGGGGCTTCCTTTGTACTGACCTTGGCACACTTTCTAGCTCAGAGCCCCATTCAAGAAATGCCAGGTTGAGGCTGAGCATGCTTGTGTCTGTCCTTCACAGATGATGGAACCTGGCTTGATGAGCAAGGCCATGTTGGTATATGCTTCTCTGCCATTTAGAAAGACCCCCCCCAGGATGTGGGGTTTAAGATGATTGACAGTATAACCGATTAACCTCATTAGCCTACAGCTCATGCACCTGATGGATTCGTTAGGGCAAATTTTATTTTATTATTTTATTTTATTTTTTGAGAGAGGACCTCACTCCATCAGTGAGGCTGGAGTGCAGTGGCATGATCATGGCTCACTGCAGCCTCCAACCCCTGGTGCTCCATAGCTAATTTTCTTTTATTTTTATTATTGTAGATACTGGGTCTCAATAATGTTGCACAGGCTGGTCTTAAACTCCTGGGCTCTCAGGAGGTAGAGGTTGCAGTGAGCTGAGATCGCACCATTGTACTCCAGCCTGGGAGACAGAGCAAGACTGTCTCAAAAAAAAAAACCCAAAAAACCAAAAAACTGCTGGGCTCAAGCGATCCTCTCACCTCGGCCTCCCAAAGTGCTGGGATTATAGGTGTGAGCCACTGCACCCAGCCTATTTAGGGCAAATTTTAAATGTCAAGTTATCTTACATCTGCTCACCACCCACCCTATTTTTGAGTTACCTTCTTCATTCCAGCAGATGATGTCATAAGTCTGTCAGTCAACAAACATCTGAGTTCATACTATGTGCCAGGCATTGAGCCAGGCATTAACAAATAGGCATTTAATAAGTGCTTGAATAATTAAAACAAATTTAAAATAATATTTAACTAGTGCTTTCCAACTTGCCTGATCATTAGAATGACCTGTGGCACTAGTTAAAAATCCAAATTTCACTCCCTAGTAGTCTAGTGGCTAGGATTTAAAAAAAAAATTATTATTATTTTTTTAATTCAGCTCTGCAGCCAGGCATGGTGGCTCACGCCTGTAATCCCAGCACTTTGGGAGACCAAGGTGGGCAGATCCCCTGAGGTCAGGAGTTCAAGACCAGCCTGGCCAACATGGTGAAACCCCGTCTCTACTAAAAATACAAAAACTAGCCAGGCGTGGTGGTGCCTGCCTGTAATCCCAGCAACTCGGGAGGTTGAGGCAGGAGAACTGCTTGAACCTGGGAGGCAGAGGTTGCAGTGAGCCAAGATCACACTACTGCACTCCAGCCTGGGTGACAGAGTGAGACTGTCTCAAAAAAAAAAAAAAAAAAAAAAAAATTCAGATCTGCAGACTTCACTCCGCAAATCCCAAAACCACTGATTCACATTCCTAGATTTTAGGATGGGCCTGAAATTCTATTCTTAACAAGCCTTCAAATTAATTCTCATGATATGGCAAGTTTGGGAAATACTGACCTAATCCAAATAGATTTAGAAAGGTAAGACCTGGTCTCCAAATATCAGGTTGCCTTTTGAACTGAAATTTTTTTTTTTTTTTTTTTTTTGCATCTCCAATGATATTTGCCTTTCCTCTGTGGTTACCAATGCTTAGCAGAGAAAGTCTGTTTGGTTGAGTCGAATAATGTAAACCTTAAAATTATACCGGAATTGCGATCTCCTGGGCTTTCTGAGGATGGGATTGCTTTTCCATAATTGCTAATTACCAGATTGCAATTGTTGATTAATTAATGATGTGATCAGAAATCAGCACTTCTTAGCAGGCATTTTTCTGATTAGCATGTATTTGATGGTTCCCCCAAGCAACAGGGAAAAGAGTTTCCAGAAAAAAGAGAAGCTCACAGGCTTGGGACACCCCCAAAATACCGTCAGAATGCTTTCTGGTAGGCCGGACAGGGTGGAACAAAACGTTGTAGCAGACTTTGACCATTTAGTATTTATTTATTTCATTTTTATTTTTATTTTTATTTTTGAGATGGAGTCTTGCTTTGTCACCCAGGCTGGAGTGCAGTGGCATGATCTCGGCTCACTGCAGCCTCTGCCTCCTGGGTTTCAGCAATTCTCTTCCCCGAGCCTCCCGGGTAGCTGGGATTACAGGTGTGCACCACCACGCCTGGTTAATTTTTTTTTTTTTTTTTTTTTGTATTTTTAGAGACAGGGTTTCACCATGTTGGCCAGGCTGGTCTCGAACTCCTGACTTCAGGTGATCCACCCACCTCCGCCTCCCAAAATGCTAGGATTATAGGCATGAGCCACCGCACCTGGCCCCATTTACTATTTATAAAGACCCTGAGCATTCTAGAATCTGGGTGCAGTAGACAAGTATCCAGTGACTTTATTTGTAAGACGAAATGCAGACACCGGGAGCTTTTGGAAAACACGTGGCATAACACAGTGGAAAAGAGTGAAACTGGTGTAAGACGTTCTCACAAACGACCTTCCATTTCCTTAGGCTCTGGCCTGCCAGCTGCTTTCCCTTGCTGTATTCCCGCCACCTCCCACCCACACACCCTCACAGAGACCCCTACATGCATACACGCAGAGGAACACACTCACACACACCCCTCTATCAGGTTGAACCATATGAAATTGCTTTTTTGCCGGGAGGAGAGATGTAGTCTTGCTGTGTTGCCCAGGCTGGAGTGCAGTGGCTCAATCTCGGCTCACTGCAACCTCTGCCTCCCTGGTTCAAGTAATGCTTCTGTTTCAGCCTCCTGAGTAGCTGGGACTACAGGCGCACTGCCACACCCAGCTAATTTCTGTTTTTGTATTTTAGTAGAGACAGGGTTTTGCCACGTTGCCCAGGCTGGTCTCAAACTCCCCACCTCAGGCAATCCGCCCGCCTCGGCCTCCTAAAGGGCTAGGATTACAGGGGTAAGCCACCGCGCCCGGCCTGAAATTGCTATTCTTATAGGTCACAACAGACAAATATCAGCAGCTTCACGTGGTTCAGCCTCATATCTATGTGTATACATGCACACCCACCCATGTGCTTACGTAAACGCGCCCATACACACCTACAAACATATATACACTTGTGCACACATTCACACGTGCAGGAAAATTCTCTGGTGCCCTTCTCCATGGCTGTGCTAGTGAACAACTAATCTGGCCCCTCCTGTGTCCCTCCGCACCCCACCCACCTTGCCTCCTTCCTAGACACTAACCTCCGGTGCTGATCCCCACCCCTACAGGAGAGCGAAGACCTGGAGAAACAGAACGCGGCTCTACGCAAGGAGATCAAGCAGCTCACAGAGGAACTGAAGTACTTCACGTCGGTGCTGAACAGCCACGAGCCCCTGTGCTCGGTGCTGGCCGCCAGCACGCCCTCGCCCCCCGAGGTGGTGTACAGCGCCCACGCATTCCACCAACCTCATGTCAGCTCCCCGCGCTTCCAGCCCTGAGCTTCCGATGCGGGGAGAGCAGAGCCTCGGGAGGGGCACACAGACTGTGGCAGAGCTGCGCCCATCCCGCAGAGGCCCCTGTCCACCTGGAGACCCGGAGACAGAGGCCTGGACAAGGAGTGAACACGGGAACTGTCACGACTGGAAGGGCGTGAGGCCTCCCAGCAGTGCCGCAGCGTTTCGAGGGGCGTGTGCTGGACCCCACCACTGTGGGTTGCAGGCCCAATGCAGAAGAGTATTAAGAAAGATGCTCAAGTCCCATGGCACAGAGCAAGGCGGGCAGGGAACGGTTATTTTTCTAAATAAATGCTTTAAAAGAAACCAGTCTGACAAGGCAGTTTCTCTCTTTCACCCTGTCCCTTGACACTCTAAATTCTGCGATGTTGGGACCTTCTTTGTTTTTTGGACTCTAGTACCCTCAAAGAGCTCTAGGGACTCCACTAACAGCTCCTCTTTTCCATGGTTTATTGATGTACTTGGGAAGCTTTCAATTCCTTCTCTAGGTGTCTCCTTCTCCTTCTCCTTCTCCTTCTCCTCCTCCTCCTCCTCCTTTCTCCTCCTCCTCCTCTTCTCCCCCTTCTCCTCCTCCTCCTCCTTCTTCTTGACAGAATTTCTCAGATCTTGGCTCAGGCTGGAGTGCAGTGGTACGATCTCCGCTCACTGCAACCTCCGACTCCCAGGTTCAAGAGACCCTCTTGCTTCAGCCTCCCTAGCAGCTGAGACTACAGGCACGCACCACTATGCCCAGCTAATTTTTTTATTTTTAGTAGAGACAAGGTTTCACCATGTTGGTCAGGCTGGTCTCGAACTCCTGGCCTGAAGTGATCCACCCGCCTGGGCCTCCAAAGTGCTGGGATTACAGGCATGAGTCACCATGCCCAGCCTAGGTGTCTTCTGGATTGCCCTCCCATGCTCCCCTCACGGTGACCTCCCACCTTCCATTCTTCACTGCTTTCTAGACCATGAGCAGGTTGTCCCCTAGTCCGGGAGAAGGCCCAGTGCAGGATGGCCTCACCTGGTGAGGTGGTAAGTCAGGTTGACCTTCTCGTCTCCCACTCATGACTCCACTCACCCAGCCAACTGGCTCCATCCTGACAGCCAAGTCTCCGGATGCTGCAACCAGGCCCTGTGCCAGGCTGCCCTTCACATGGAAGGCGGTGTCTTCCTAATGCTCTCAAGGGGCAACATGCAGCTTGGGTCCACAGGGACTTCTCTGCCAGTGGTGTACATGTCCTGCTGAAGACTCCACCTCCCTTAGAAGGCGGTGATACAGAGCACAGGACTTGTCCTGTCCCCGCAGGGCTCCGCAGGCTGCCATTTGAGCACTTTGAGGGCTCAGGGAACACAGGGTCATCTTCAGTTTGGCAGAGCCTGAAACCAGCATGCTCCACCCCCCTGCTCTTCAGAGATCCCCAGGCCAAGTGCCTGCTGGCCTGCCTGACACAGCCTTACCCACACCACTGCCCACGAGCAAAGCCTGCAGCAGGGCCTGGCCACACACAACCCCTGCTGAGCCAGCTGGAGACAAAAGCAACGGAGATCATTGTGCCAGGCGCCCACCTGATTGAGCTCCTTCAGTAGCCACCCTCAGTCTCATCCATTTGTCCTTTAGAGGGACAGCCTCTGCCTGCTGCCTCCCCGGTGGCATCCCTCATGGGGTGACAGAAGGGAGGAGAAGTCCTGCTTCCCTGTGTCAGTGCCCCCTGAACCCGCTGGCCAACCACTCTGGCCGGTTTGAGGCCAAGTTTCAACTCTAGACCTCCCCTGTGTGTGTCTCTCCTGCCCCTCTCAGATGATGCCAGTGTTGGGCTATTGTGATTATTAAATGCCATAGAAGTTTGGATGAGCTGCATCCCAGCAGGTGGTGGGGTCACAGCCCCTTGGGAGGAGTCCAACCCAACAGCCTCTGATGGCACATTGCAATCTTTGGGGCTCTCACCAGAGAAGCTGGTGCCCATGGGAGCCTAGGATGTGGACACTGGGCTGAGCCCCGTAATTCAGAGCCTGGGAAGACAGCCCAGAAGACGTTCCCTGAGTGCTGGCATTTCTCCCAGCACAGAATCTTGCATTGTAACCTTTGGTCTCCCAACGAAACGTGGCAAAACAGGCTCCCCTTTCAGTGCAGAGCCTCCATGTGGACTGGGCAGATGTGTCATGAGGAGGAGCTTTCTTAATTTCCTTCAGAACCTGGATTTTGGTAGCTAACGCTCTGTCTAGCTCTTTCCCACCCCTCTGTTAACGAGAAGAGCAAAGAAGCCGATCTTCACTTCAGATGTTGCAGTCATAAAATATAATTCATTTTTCTTTCATAATTATTATTTTTTCTTTTTTTGAGACACGGTCTCACTCTGTCACCCAGGCTGGAGTGCAGTGGTGCAATCATGGCTCACTGCAGCCTTGACTACCCACACTCAAGCGATCCTCCCACCTCAGCTTCCCAAGGTGTTGGGATTACAGGCATGAGCCATTGCACCTGGCCTTCTTTCACGATCTAAAGACGTAGAACTTTGAGTCCAGCTTTCTTTGCTACTATCTCTGCCAGGGCCTGGCCTCTTGTGGGCAGGCTTTCTTTGAATCAGAGATTTTCATCTCCACCCATGCTCTAGCACTGTGATTTTCCCCAGAAACCCCCACAGAAGGCACATGACTTCTGCCGGCATCTTCTGAATGACATTCAGGGCCAGAACTAGAAAAGCAGAGTTCACGTGCACGGTTCCCATCTCTCAGCAAGGACTTCTCTTCCCCTTTCATTCTCTACTTTCTACTGACCCCAGGCAGTTCCACTTCTCCTGTCTAGTCAGCCCGGTAGAGGTAGCAGGTAGCTGAGCCTGGAGCTGGTGCCAAGGCTGACTTCATGTCCATGCAGGCAAATTGGAGAGGCAGCCATGAATAGAAATTTGAACATCCGTAGCTTTAACCTTGGATGTTTCACCAACCAGGTTCTGTCCCAGCCTTCTACCCATGACAGGGATGGCTCCCTCAGTCTGGTGGGCCACTTGACCCACACTCAAACGCCTTCTACCCAGGCAGGCACTGTGAAAGCATGGGACCCACTGGATGTAGGGCAATTGGGAGTGGTGGAGAATGTGGCAAACTAAGGAGAGTGTGCAGCTGTCTGTCGTTCAGTTCTCTCCCATGGTGCCATGTGGGAATTTAGGCCTGGGCTTGCCATGTCTTCCAGTTTGTCAAGAAAAGCCAAAATCAGAATTTCTACATGAAATCTCTCAATTCTTTTTTTCTTCCCTTCCCTTTCTTCCTCCCTCCCTCCCTCCTTCCTTCCCTTCCTCCCTCCCTCCTTCCCTCCCTCCCTTCCTTCTTTCTTTTTTTCTTTCTTTCTTCCTTCCTTCCTTTTTTTCCTTTCTTATTCCTTTCTTCCTTTCTTTCCTCCTTTCTTTTTGCTTTCTTTCTTTCTTTCTTTCTTTCTTTCTTTCTTTCTCTCTTTCTCTCTTCTTTTCTTCTTTTCTTTCTTTCTTTTCTGACAAGGTCTCACTCTGTGGCCCAGGCTGGAGTGCAGAGCTGCTGTCATAGCTCACTGCAGCCTCGACCTCCTGGGCTCAAGCAATCCTTCCACCTCAGCCTCCCAAGTAGCTGGGACTACAGGGGCATGCCACCACACCCAGCTATTTTTTTATTTTTGTTTTTTTCATTTTTCTGTAGCAAGGGGATCTCATTATATTGCCCAGACTGATCTTGAACTCTTGGCCTCAAGCCATCCTCTCATTTCAGCCTCCCAAAATGTTGGGATTACAGGCATGAGCCACCACATCCAGCCCATGTGTCTAAATAAAATACTTAAAACATTATAAATCAAGCTTACAAGTTGTTAACAAAACACATTCTTTTCTTCTTCCTTGACAAGGATACTTTCATCACAACCTAAAAGGCCAAGTTTGAACTCAGAATTCTTAGACACTTCAAAATTTTATATTAGCACAAGGTAGTGAGAAAGAAGCAGTACCCGGACTGCAGCTTGCCGCTTTCTTGCCCTCCCCTGGTTCTTCCTGTACCACAGCAGCCTCCAGTTCATGCCGGCGGACATGCCAGCCTGGAAGACCAAATTCCGTCCACATTCACCCCCACAGGACCCATCCCTTGGGTCCAGAGATGCACATACCAGTGGTCTGGTCCACACTCGGGAAGAAGTATCCAGGGAAGAGGCTTCAGCTCCTGGAAGCCAGCCCAGGGCCAGTTACTAAGGGGATTCTGGTGTCCTTGGAATGTTGGGCACAGTCTAAAGGGGGACACAGGGTTCTAGGTAGGTGTCTCCTTAGTTCTAAGGACTTTTTGCCCCAACAAGAGGAGCGTAGCAGGAGGAATGGCAGTGCTAGTCCCTGCATTGTCGGGAGTTCAGAGCAGAGACGTCTTTTGTCCAGGTCTGAAGGTGGCACTGCAGAGACCTGCCCATTTGCAACTCTGATCTAGGTCAGCAATATCTCCTGGAAAAGCCCAGGCTACAGGAAGGCCCTGTGTAGCAAGAAATGGACACAAGACAGCGTCGTCAACATCTGTCACATTGAAATGCGGGTTCCTGGAGAATGTTAGTTTCCCCACCTGCCATCCTCTGCATTTATCTCTTACTAGCAGTGTCATTCCCTGAGTGAGTGTCAGAGCAAATTACGAGAAAGCCAGATCTTCAGTCCTCAGGATGAGAAGTGTGGGTGGGGAGAGAAAGGGAGGCAAAGTCAACTCAAAGGTCACGAAGTTGCCGTCTGCTGGACCAAAACTTACCAGCAGTTTATTAATACCTCCAGCCGATGTTACAGTTGTGGCTTTACGGGGAAGGAGGTGAGACTACTGGATGCCCCACTTCTCTTGGGGACAGATAGGCTATCTCTATTTCTCTTCCTTCTTCCCCACGGGTTCAGTGCTCCAAAGCTGCTTGGGAATTCCAAGGGGGAGAAAGGGCTAGTGAACTAAGATCAACACCAACGTAGTAAAGATTTAATACTCGTTTCTGCCAGAGGAGACTGTCATTTTAAGAGACACCTAGGAGCTCAAGGCTATAGTGAGCTATGATTGCATCACTGCACTCCAACCTGGGCAACAAAGCGAGATGCAAAACCCTGTCTCTAAAACAAAAAAGAGAGATGCCTAGAGAAAGTAACACTTGACCCAAAGGAAAGAGTTTTTATGGTAGCATTTTAGGCTTTGTAGCAAGTGAGCAGAGGAGATATTTAATGGAATTCTTGCCATGGGAATGACATGTGACTGCATTGGCCTCATGTAGATACCAGAGGAGTGGGAGATGGGGATGGGAGGGAAAGAGAGATGTAGCCCTTCTAAAACTCTTGTGGGTTTGTGTGTGTGTGTGTGTTTTTTTTTTTTGACTGAGTCCCACTCTGTTGCCCAAGCTGGAGTGCAGTGGTGCGATCTCGGCTCACTGCAACCTCCACCGCCCGGATTCAAGCAATTCTCCTGTCTCAGCCTCCTGAGTTGCTGGGATTACAAGCATGCGCCACCACGCCCAGATAATTTTTTTTTTTTTTTTTTTTTTTTTTTTTTGTGGAGATGGTGTTTCACCATATTGGTTAGGCTGGTCTTGAAAAATCTTGTTTTTTAACCACCTGATATGTGATTTAATTTAATCACTTATAGGAAGATAAAATAAAAACCTGATCCTGGTTTGAACAATCTACTGGTAGGTAGAGATGAAGAGCCCCCTTTTAGAGGACTTCAATAGGAAAATTTGCACAAATACCTTTGCTACCCAGGAGGTTTCTTTGGCTTCCTCTGGAAGATTCCTGTAGACAGATTGCTGAGTTTGTCATTACACCTAGAAACCAAGGCTAGGAGGGGTAGCTGAGACTGATAATTGCCCTCCCAAAGCTATTCTTCCATTTTTCCTTACTACGGAACTCTTGTTTTGTCTAAGATGGCAATATGCCTAGAGAAAAGATTACATATCCCAGATTCCTTTGATGTTTGGGATGGCCATATGGCACAGTTCTGGCCAAAGAGATATGCAAGAATTTGCTAGGTAAGACTTTTATGGGAAAGCTCTTCAAAAGGTGGGGCTGTCTCAGTTGGCACATGCCTTTCTCCTCCTTTCTGTCTGGAAGGCAGATATGGTGTTAGAGGTGAAGCAACCGTGTACACAAAGGAGGAAGAGATTCTGCGTCCCTGGTAATACTGCAGAAGTGTGAAGATGATAGAAGCTCCAGCTGGCCCACTTCTAGACGGCTTCTAAGTGAAAGTGGAAAAGAGTTTATTTGGTTACATCACCTTGAGTTGGGTTTTCTAAGTGCAGCTTAACTCAATTCTGTCTAATGCAGGAGCCAATGGAACAACCAAATAAGGAATTTAAACAATTCCCCTAGCTCAGTGGTTCCTAACTGGGGGTGATCCTCCCCATTCCCCAAGATATTTGACAATGTCTGGAGATATTTTTAGTTGTTACAGCTTGGGAGAGAGGTACTAGTAACATCTAGTGGGAAGAGGCCAGAAATGTTGTTGCTAAGCATGCTGCAATGCACAGGGCACACCCCACAAACAATAATCCAGCTCAAAACATCAGTAGTACAGAGGTGGAGCACCCCTGCAGCTGGCCCTACTGCTTCTAGGGCACCAGCCCATCAGGCCACCAACCTACCCTGACACGCTTGTCCATCCCTTTCTCAGAAACAAACCCTGTGTATTGACCAGGCTGAAAAAGCCACGTCCTTCACCGTATCTGGCACTTTCCTCTCTCTAAGCCTTTGCTCATGCATCATTTCCTCTGCCTAGAATCTCCCTCTCATCTTCTCAGGTGGGGACCATGACTCTTCATTTTTTTTTTTTTTTTTTTTTTGAGATGGAGTCTTGCTCTTGTCACCCAGGCTGGAGTGCCGTGACGCAATCTTGGCTCTCGGCTCACTGCAACCTACACTTCACAGGTTCAAGTAATTCTCCTGCCTCAGTCTCCTGAGTAGTTGGGACTACAGGTGTCTGCCACCACACCCAGCTTTGCTTTGTGTTGGGAACATTCAAAATCCTCTCTTCTAGCTATTTGAAAACATACAATAAGTTATTGTTAACTGTAGTCACCCATCAGTGCTAAGACACTAGGACTTATTCCTCTCATTTAGCTGTAATTTGGTATTCTTTAACCATCCTCTCATTATGTCGTCCTCATCTCTGCCCTGCCTTTCCAGCCTCTAGTAACCACTATTCCACACTTTACTTCTATGAGTTCAACTTCTTTAGCTTCTGCATGTGAGTGAGAACATGTGGTGTTTATCTTTCTGTGTCTGGCTTATTTCACTTAACATAATGTCCTCCAGGCTCATCTATGTTGCTGCAAATGACAGGATTTCATTCTTTTTTATGGCTAAATAATATCGCATTGTGTATATGTACCACATTTTATCTGTTCATCTGTTGGTGGATGCTTGGGTTGATTCCATATAGTACTTTGCATTGTTGCTTTTTAATGTGCATAGAAGATAAGGAATACAGGAGTAAAAGAGTTTGGAGGCAAAAACTCAAACTGTGTTTTTCCTCTGCTCTCACACCACTCTGCAATCAACACAGATGACTTCTGTGACCAAATGTGGGGAGTTTTCCCCATACACCGAGCAAGCAATCAGTTCTGCAGCAGACACCAGCTGAGTATCCTCCAATTCAGTTCTGACCCTGTCTGCCTGGAGATAGCATCAGCTCCTACAGGTTGAGAGCTCAATCCCACAAGACTCCAACCAACTTCAGATGCCAGTCGCAAGTCCAGGCATCCAGAACTTCTGGCCACTGGCTTCAAGTTAGGTTCCCACGACCCTCTCTTTGGATTGGACAAATGTGCTAGAATGGCTCAAAGAACTCAGGGAAACACTTACATTTACTGGCTTATTATAAAGGATATTGCAAGGGATACGGATGAGATGCATAGGGTGAGGTACGGGGGAGGGGTGCAGAGCTTCCATTCCCTCCTTGGGTGTGTCATCCTCCAGGAATCTTCTTGTGTTCAGCTATTCAGAAACTCCCCAAACCATGTCCTCTTGAGCTTTTTATGGAGACTTCATTGGAGAGCCATGATTGACAATCATGTAGAAATGCAGCTGGACAAAAAGGGTCCAATTACATGATCTAGTATGAGTCACATGATCTAATACTAACAGGCTAAGCAGAGAAACCCAGCAAGACCTGTCTGTGCAGATTCTTTTTGGCCTCTCTGTGTAGCATTCCTTCCTTCAGGGTATGCAGCAGGACTGCTTCTGAAGTGAGGGTCTTATGACCACAATCAGAAAAGGGGAGGAAGATTAGGGTCCTGCTTTGCACTAGGGAAAGAAGGGTAGAGAAAAGTCAGAGATAAATTTTGTTTTTTAAGGCCTGCCTCTGAGGACTGAAGTGCCCAACATTATTAAAAAAAAAAAAAAAGACTGTAACAAGGTGTTATATCACAGAGATAAATAAGACCTCTGTGTTATCCAAACCCAAGATTGGCTGTACTCTTCTTTTGCTTAAAAAACATATATATTTAAATTAATAAAGCTTGGCAAATATAGAGTATAGACACTGAAGTTTGGAGGCCTACAAGCATTCATGAAATTTCATCTTTTCATTTTCTCAATAAAGCATCTCTCTCAATCCATTTGTGTTGCTATAAGAAAATACCTGAGATTGGGCAATTTATACATAAAAAAGATTTATTTGGCTCTATGGTTCTGCTGTCTGGAAAAAATCGGGCACCCGGTGAGGGCCTCAGGGTGCTTCCACTTGTGGTGGAGGTGAAGGGGAGCATGTGTGTGCAGAGATCACACAGTGAGAGAGGAAGCAAGAAAGAGCAAGATGGAAGGGGCTGGGCTCTTTTTAACAATCAACTCTTGTGGGAACTAATAGAGTGAGAACTCACTCAACCCCCACCCCAGGGAGAACATTAATCTATTCATGAGGGGTCTACCCCATGATCAAAACTCCTCCCATTAGCATCCCACCTCTGAGTTTGGGATCAAATTTCAACATGAGGTTTGGTGGGGTAAACATCCAAGCTATAGCAGCATCCATGTGTGGAAAGTTAAGAGCATCTTTTTTTTTTTTTTTTTTTGAGACATGGTCTTGTTCTGTCACCCAAGCTAAAGTGCATGGCTCACTGCAGCCTCAAACTCCTGGGCTCAAGCAATCCTACCACCTCAACCTCCTGAATAGCTGGGACTACCAGTGAGTGCCACCATGCCTGGCTAATTTTGTGTGTGTGTGTGTGTGTGTGTGTGTGTGTGTTTTCAATAGAGATAGGGTTTCACCATGTTGCTCAGTCTTGTCTTGAACTCCTGGACTCAAGTGATCCACCTGCCTTGGCCTCCCAAAGTGCTGGGATTGCAGGTGTGAGTCACTGCACCCAGCCAAAAGCATCTTATCTTCTTTCTCTATCTTGTGGCATGTGAAGATACTGATACTAAACTTTGCCAATCATCTTTCAACTTGCAGCCATACACATAGGTACCCATTCCTAGGGATCAGCTCTTCATATCTGGGCCATGGGAGCTGTGAAATTAGATTGCGAGTCACATTAGCACCACGTCAATCCTCTCCACCCCAACCACCATTAGCACATCTTCTCTAAGTGAAGTCAGCATTATTCACATAAAATGTTATCCATTGACTACTGGTGCACAGTGTGATTGGGGTTTATGAGTTACTCGGGGTGATTATATGATGAAGACTCAATTCTTAGTGGGGGCGCTGGAGACCTTGCACCCTCTGTCCCCCAGCTCACTTCATATCACCCTCTTTTCCTCTGCACTGGCATCTGTCCCTTCCCCAAATCTCTGCGTGCTCCCTCCAGCCCAAGAGCCTTGCTCATTCTGCTCAGCCCTAACTGAAATGCTCTTACCCTTCTAGCTCATTCATTCCTACCTTTTGTCAAATACCAGCTTGGGGAAATTTTGCTTGATTCCCAGGCTAGATCAGAACTGCAATTTCAAATAGTTTCATAGCACCTCATGCCCTTCCTTTATACCCATTAACACAGACTGAAAATTTACATTTATCTATGTGGTTATTTGGTTAACATTTGTCTCTGTGACTGGACCATCCATTCTATAATGTCAGGGATTGCCAATGTTTTGCTCACCATTGTATTCTCAGCTCCTTGCACAGTAGCAAAGAGCCTACCACAGAGTAGAAATTCAATAAATATTCATTGGCTGAATGAATAAATGGATGGATGGATGGAACACAGTGCCTGCCTTCTAGGAATGTAAAATCCAAGCCAATTATTATTCTGACGATGGAATACAAATGACAAAATAAATATTCAGTTAACATATAAAAAGTAAGAATCAATCAGATATTTTAAGAGCAGGAATCAAGGGAAGGCATGTATTCTTGTGAAGATGGTAGAGATTAGGGATAGAGTCCCAGGTGGGGCTGGAAGAGGCGAGGGCAGGGAACTGTGTCTCCTCAGTCACAGTGTTATCTAGCTTTTAGTCTGTGTCTAGCTGTCACCTATTAGACAGAGGGAAAGACCAGGATCAAAGTAAAAGCAAGTTGGAATCCTGCACAAGGCCCTGTAGAAATAGATTAGCCCCAGTCCACCCTCATCGCCTATTTTCTATTACTCCAAATCCTGCTTCCATGGTAATGGAAGCTGGTTGGCCTGCCTTGCTGGTGGTTCATGCCTCTACACCCTACAAACACGAACACAACCTACGTACTGCTGTAATTGAATACCACAGACTCAGTAATTTACAAAGAAATGAAATTTATTTCTCACAACTCTGGAGGCTGGCCAGTCCAAGAGCATGGCACCAGTATCTGGCCAGGGTCATCCCATGGCAGAAGGGTGGAAGGCAGAAGTGAGCACATGAGACAGAGAGGGGAGCAGACCAAACTCCACCTTTTTATCAGGAACCCACTCCTGCAACAACCAACTCATTCCTGTGATAATGGCGTTAATCTATTCATGAGAGTGGAGCCCTCATGAGCTAATCACCTCTTAAAGGTCCTGCCTCTCAACACTGTTTCAATGGCAATTAAATTTCAGTATGAGTTTTGGAGGGCACATTCAAACCGAAGTGGCTCCAACCCCACATTTTCACTTGGGATTGCCCTAGTGGGGACTCTCTGAGGTGACCGTTCCCCTGAAGCAGATTTCTACTTGAGCTTCCAGGTGATCCATGACATCCTTTGAAATCTAAGCAGAGGAAGCCATGCTTCTATAGCCCTTGCATTTTGCATCCTTGCAGACTTAACACCAAATGTTTGCCATCAAGGTTTACCACCTATTCTTTCTGGAGCACCCAGGCTGCTTGAGCCACAGCTGGGAGGGCTGAGAGGCACTGTGCTGAAATTCAGGGAGCAGAGAGAGAGAGTTTCACTTTGTCACCCAGCCTGGAGTGCAGTGGCATGATTATAACTCACTGCAGCCTCGAACTCCTGGGCTCAAGGGATCCTCCTTCCTCAGCCTTCCAAGTAACTGGGACTACACATGCCACCACACCCAGCTAATTAAATTTTTTTTTTTTTTTTTAGAGATGAAGTTTCACTACATTGCCCAGGCTAGTGTTGAACTCCTAACCTCAAGTGATCCTCCTGCCTCAGCCTCCTGAGTTGCTGGGATTACAGGTGTGAATCACCATGCCCAGCTTGGGTAATTTGTAGGGAAAAAAAATTATTTCTCATAGTTCTGGAGGCTGGGAAATCCAAGAGCATGGCGCCAGCATCTGGCAAGTGTTATCCCATGGCAGAAGGGTGGAAGGTGGAAGCAAGCACATGAGACAGAAAGGGAAGTGAGCCAAACTCGTCTTTTTTATTGGGAACCCACTCCAAAGATAAACCCGCTTCTGTGACAATGACATTAATCGAGGGACCCATTAATCCATGAGGGCTCTGTCCTCATGACCGAATCACTTCTTAAAGGCCCCGCTTCTCAACTCTGTTACAATGGCAATTAAATTTCAACACGAGTTTTGGAGGAGACATTTAAACCACAGCAATCATTGAGAGAAGATGACAGAGACCAGATATCTACTTACATCGTGCCCAAAACCCCCAGTGGTGACTCATGGTGGACAGTTAAATGGCTGTCCAGATAGGCCATTCACTAACCCATGAGTGAGGGCAGAGACTATCTGTGTCTTGTTTACTGCTATATTCCTAGTGCCCAGCAGAGCAGATATGTGATATTTATAGGTTTGATAAATGAATTAATTAATCATAAATATAAATAATTCATTCATTCATATATTCTCAAGCCTTGTCTACTTCAGGTTGAGAATTTTGAGTTTGGACTGTGACTAAATTACCTATGGCTCCCTCAAAGGTTTGTGTCTCATTGTTTATCCCCAGGGGGTGGGGGAACAAGTCCATAAGAGCCCTAAATGCCCAGGAAGCAGGACTGACTGGGATGATCTGGTGGCCTCAGGAAGGTCACTGCACTACTATAATGGGGATCTAGTTCTGTCTGGGTCTAAAACCTGGGGCTGAAGGCAAGATGTCACGGAATTGTGACCTAGAGCTGAGATGCACCTGATTACAGTGACCCCCACACACTTTTTTTTTTGCTACCCAGAATCCATTTCTTCTCCTTCTCCTTCTTCTCCTCCTCCTCCTCTTCGTCCTCCTCCTCCTCCCCTTTCTCCTCCTCCTCCTCCTCCCCTTTCTCCTCCTCCTCCTCCCCTTTCTCCTCCTCCTCCTCCTCTTTCTCCTTCTTCGAGATGGAGTCTCACTCTGTCACCCAGGCTAGAGTGCAGTGGAGTAATCTCGGCTCACTGCAACCTCCAACTCCCGGGTTCAAGTGATTCTTCTGCCTCAGCCTCCTGAGTGGCTGGGATTACAGGTGCATGCCATCACGCCTGGTTAATTTTTATATCTTTAATAGAGATGGGGTTTCACCATGTTGGCCAGGCTGGTCTTGAACTCCTGACCTCAAGTGATCCACCCGCCTAGGCCTCTCAAAATGCTGGTATTATAAGCGTGAGCCACTGCGCCCCGGCTCTATTACTCCTTCTTCTGACAAAGCATCTGCATTTCCTTTCTATGTGTAGAGCTGTCAATCAAGGTGTCTTCTCTGCCTTATCTGGCCAAGATACAACCAAACACCCAGACTGGGCCAATCAGACTACTGGGAATCTCGCTTTGGAGCAGAGCAAAGAAAAGACCCAGAAGATGTTTGGAGCCCCTCTACTCTAACTGTGAAGCCCTGGCCAGAGAGAGAATTCCTGTGGTGGAGAATTGTCCTGGCTTCTGCCTTGTTCTGGGCCTTGTTCTCTGGGCTTCTTTTGAATTCTGTGAGCCACATACATCCTTCCAATACATTCATTTACTGCTGATGTCAACCAGAGTAAGCTTCTATTGTGAAACCAAAAAAATGGTGACTCATTGTACCTGGGTTTCCCAGAGAGGGGGCGAGGGGGCAGGGCACTGCATCCTAATTCTCAGGGGCTAACAGGAGTAGACTGCTTTCTGAGAGGGTTTGAGGGTGTTCTGTGCTCCACCAGAAACTGGGCATGCAGCCAGAACCACACCAGCCTCTGGATTGCCCAACCTGGATACTACCCATTACTGCTTCTGGAAGGAACCCCAGGCTCTAATTTGAAAACCATCACTGGGAGTTGCAACTCAGCCTCCAGGCTTCACTCCCCATCCTCTTCAGTCCATTCTATGAGGAGCTCAGCCCATCAGCTAAAAGGCAATATTCAAAATCCAGGCCAGGCACTGGCAGTCAGAATGGGGTCGGAGCTGGAGCAGGGTGAAGGCATGCGTCTGCGTTGTTGCATGGAGGGGCACTAGGGTAGGGGCTATCAGTCAGCCAGATGTACATATTTTAATATTTCAACAGCCAGTTCAACTGCACCGGTGCGCACCATCTCGCTATCAGCTTAGCACCTACAGGACTGTGGGGGTCTTGGAGGGAGGGACTCTCCAGTGTGTTCTTGTAATTCTCCTCGCCTCTCCCTCTTCTTCCCCACCTGTCTCTGCCTCGCCAGAGGTTTGCACAGAGCAGATGATTAACATATTTGTAAATAAAAATCCCAAGATAGAAGAAAGAAAATGAAGAGGAAGAGAATGGGTGCAAGGAGGGGAAGGAAGATTAAAAAGTTGGGTCTGTTCTAAAAAAAAAATCACACCATGGACCATTCCTCCTGCCGCCTCACTCCCCCACCCCAAAGTGTTCATCTACATATGCTCATTTAAAATAAGCATTAGGGGCACCCTTGAAAGAAAAGAAAAGTGCAAAATAAAGGTGATGTATGAAAGAGTGAGGGGTCATCTTGCTAGGGGCAGGGATGATACTGGCTGCCATTTATGATCTCATTTTCTGTTCACTCTATTATTTTAGGAAAGATTATTATCCCCATTTTACAGATAAAGAAAGACTCCGAAGAGGCTAAATGGTTTGCCCAAGGTCACACAGTTAAACGTGGAGATGGGACTCAACCTCTCTTTGGCTGCTTGCAAAGTTGGAGCTATATATAGCAAGCGCAAGCGCACCTGGGGAACTCCCCACATTCCAGGATTACAGCCAGGACCATTGGGACAGCGGTCCCGGGTTGGTGCTGCCACCTAGTGACAGAGAACTGCAGAGATCAACTTTCCTCCCTCTCCTCCGTTCCCCCTCCCTCCTGCATCCTCCTTTCCCAGCTTGAGAGAGTCCTGAACCATGGCAGCCAACCATCACTTGTTTGGGCAGAAGCTTGAATACAGAGAATTGACCTCTAGATGCAAGCTGGCGCCTCATTCAGCTTCCTCACTCTATCCTAGGGCATAGCTCTGAAGAGATGTTTGGGTGAGTGACCAGGAATGCAAATCTGCACAGATTTGGGCATCAACCTGGTTTCCAAACACAAGCTCTGCAGATATTTTACTGTGAAACTCCGGGTAGCCGTGAACAGGATGTTGGCTACATCCTGTTTTAGGGTGATAACTACGTTGTACCTGCACAGTCCCAATCATTGAATACCTGCTAGCTCCCCGGTAACATGTTAATAGCAGCCTCTCATTTCCTTTTTGCCCTATCTTTTTTCCTTTTATTTTAGATTCAGGGGTACATGTGCAGGCTTGTTACATAGGTAAATTGCATGTCACGGGGGTTTGGTGTATAGATTATTTCATCACCCGGGTAATACACGTAGTACCTAATACCTGATAGGTAGTTTTTCAGTCTTCACCCTCTTCCTGCCCTCCACCCTCGAGTAGGCTCCAGTGTCTGTTTGTCTTATCTTTGTGTCCTTAGCTCCCACTTACAAGTGAGAATATGCAGTATTTGTTTTTCCATTTCTGTGTTAGTTCGCTCAGGGTAATGGTCTCCAGCTCCATCCATGTTGCTGCAAAGGACATGATCT
This sequence comes from Homo sapiens, assembly GCF_000001405.40. NCBI lineage: Eukaryota > Metazoa > Chordata > Mammalia > Primates > Hominidae > Homo > Homo sapiens. Next base: position 75,561,926 of record NC_000014.9, read on the forward strand.
TGTTCCTTTTTATGGCAGCATAGTATTCCATGGTGTATATGTACCACATTTTCTTTATTCAGTCTATAGCTGATGGGAACTTAGATGGGTTCCGTCTCTTTGCTATTGTGAATAGTGTCTAATTTTATGTGAAGCCCAAACACCAACACATGTTGCCCAAGCTCACTGAGCAAGGCCTTCAGCCCTGATCTTCAGACTCCAAGTGCAGTGCCCTTCCTACTCCGCTGCCCTGTGCTGTGCCCCGCTCCCCCACAATTCAACTCACCCTGTGAAACCTTGTTTTTGTCAGCCTAGTCATCCAGACATGATGACTCAAGGGTCGCTGTGGAACAGGCTGTCAGGGGAGGACCTGTGTCAGCACAGTGGCTTTCTTGACCTTTATGGCAGTGGGGAGTTACCTCAGTCTAAAACGTGTGGCTGCCAAGTGACTTCAGTCTCAACTGAAGCACGGACATGATCGATGGGCAGATAAGGAAAGCCATTCCCACTCCCTGAGCTTTCCACACCTCCTTCAGCGTCTTCTCTCTTCTCCTAAGTCCAAGATCACCTGGAACATAGAAGCCACGGGTTAAAATTTTTCATTCAGACCTGGCTCTCAGAATCTTGTTGCAAATGGAGAATAAAGGGTCACCTCTAGAAGGCAAAGTGGTCTCACCAAATATGTGCCTCACCCTGTCCACAATTAATCTAGTAATGTCTCTGTCTAGTCCTGCATAATTTGTGTCAGGAAATCCACTTTAGTTACCCATAGTGATGAAATAAACACAACAGTCAGATCTGCACCTAGCACAGTGTATATAGTCAGGGCAGATACTAGGTGACAAGCTCGAAGTAGATTTTTAAACCTGAAATGTATAGATTATCCATCTAAACCGTGATTTATTTCATCTGGGGGTCATTGGGCTGCTTTGACTATCTGATGAAACTGTGGACTCCCCCGCCTCTCCCTTTATAAAACATGTTTCTTTTTTCTTTCTTTCTTTCTTTTTTTTTTTTTTTCGAGACAGAGTTTCATTCTTGTTGCCCAGGCTGGAGCACAATGGCGTGATCTCAGCCCACTGCGACCTCCACCTCCTAGGTTCAAGTGATTCTCCTGCCTCAGCTTCCCAAGTAGCTGGGATTACAGGCATGCACCACCACGCCTGGCTAATTTAATTTGTATTTTTAGTAGAAACAGGGTCTCCCCATGTTGGTCAGGCTGGTCTCAAACTCTTGACCTCAGGTGATCCACCCCCTTCAGCCTCCCAAAGTGCTGAGATTACAGGTGTGATCCACCATGCCCAGCCAAAACACATGTGTATTAATCAATTTGGATGATATGATTTCAGGGGTTTGCAGGATTCTGAAACCCATTCGTAGACCCTTAGATAAAAACTCTTCATCAGTCAACACAGCAGTCACCCAAGACTCAAGAAACAGAGCTGCTGGTAGCAAGCATGGCCCAGGACATCGGCATTGGATTGGAGTGCAGAAGCTCCCAGGTCGCCACAGTGTGGTGAGCCAGGAGGGCCTCACACTCCCAGGAGAAAGCCTACTCCACGTGAGGCAGAATCTTTGACTCGGGCCGTTTCCATCTGTCCACTCTGACACAATGTGTCATTAATGGTGAGCAGGAAGGAGTGGAGACGAAGGATGCAAAGAGGTTCGGGAACTGGATGAAGATTTATGTTATGTACATTACTTGATAACATTTTTTAAAAGGTTGAAAGCTTAATAGATTTTTTAAATGATGTACTCTAAAGATGTCCTTCTGATTATAGGTGCGGTTGCTCACACCTGTAATCCTAGCACATTGCGAAGCCAAGGTGGTTGGATTGTTTTGAGTTCAGGAATTGGAAACCAGCCTGGGCAACATAGTGAGACTCCGTCTTTACAAGAAGAAAGTTAAAAAAAATTAGCTGTATGTGGTGCATTCTTATAGTCCTAGCTACTCAGGAGGCTAAATTGGGAGGATTTCTTGAGCTCAGGAGTTCAAGGCTGCAGTGAGCTATGATGATACCACTGCACTCCAGCACAGGTGACAGAGCAAGATCCTGCCTCTTTAATAAATGCTTGAAACGCTTCAACAGCAAACAAATAAATAAAAATGTCTGTTTAATAAACGCTTTCATGCTAAAGTAGCCACGTGTCCTCTGAGGGCCGCAAATGCAGGATTAGGCAAACCTGTGTGAGATGACTGGCAGCCAGGGAATATGATCCTCAGGACATATGAACCTTTCTGCCTGCTTTCCCAAAACAAATAACCTCTTTTATACCTTGACTGATGACTGAAATCCTATTCTTAGAACTTTGTTCCTATGATGTAAGGTATTTATCACCCACCAGGTGCCTGCAAGTGCCTTGGTTTGGATTCTAAGTTGAAATGAGCCCTATTCCTTTGCAGCTCTTAGGAATCAGCTTGCCTCCCCTGATGCTTCTCTTGCACCTGCTGTCCATTCCATTTGCTTATTGATTCATTCATTCAACAAAATGTATTGAGCACTGACTTGTGTGAGACACTCTGCTAGGGAGTAACCAAGGGGCGAAGAAGAAAGCAGACCCAGCACCTGCCCTCATGGAGCCTACAGTCTGCCAGGGGAAACAAACACCAAAGAACTAATTATTCTATTTTTATTTTTTAATTTATTGAAACAGAGTATCACTCTGTCACCAGGCTGGAGTGCAGTGGTGCCGTCTTGGCTTACTGCAACCTCCGCCTCTTGGGTTCAAGCAATTCTCCTGCCTCAGCCTCCCGAGCAGCTGGGATTACAGACGTGCACCACCATGCTCAGTTAATTTTTGTATTTTTAGTAAAGATGAGGTTTCACTATGTTAGCCAGGCTGGTCTCGAACTCCTGACCTCAAGTGATCCACCCGCCTCTGCCTCCCAAAGCGCTGGAATTACAGGTGTGAACCACTGCGCCCTAATTATCCTAATTAAATAATGACAATTGTGGTAAGTGCCATGCAAAAGAAGCATCAGGAGCACATACACTCAGAACATGTGACCGATTTCAGGAAGGAAGTGACATTTCAACTGAGCCTTGAAGGAGGAGTAGAGTGAAACAGATGAGGAAGGCAGGGAAGAGCATTCCAGGCAGAAGGAAAAGCATGTGCCCAGGGTGGCCAGCATGAAGCATGGAGATTCTATCTCCTGGCCTGAGGAGCCTAGTGAGGTCCCCAAGTAACTAGAAAGATGGTCCTACCTCTTCCTAACGTCACCACCTCCAAAAGTTCTGGTGCTGTGTCCTACTTCACGGAAGGAATCCCCCATTTTTCACAGCTGGTGACCCACTGCAATCATCTGGCACAGCCCTACCCGCCTACCTGCCAGCACCCCCAGACCTTTCCTCCAGGCTTTGCCAGGAAACCACAGCAGCCTCCTAACTGCCTCTTTGTCTACTCCACATAGCAGCCAGAGAGATTCCTTTATAGCGCAAGTCCGCCACATCACTCCTCTGCTTAAAACTCCTTCAGGGCTTCTGGCCTCACTCAGTGTCCACATCCTAATCAGAGCCCACAAGGCCCTGCAAGATTTGACCCCCACTTACCTGTCTGAGCCCTTCTCCCACCAGCCCCCTGTTCTGTCTCTCTGCTCCAACCACACTGGGATCCCCGCTGTGTCTGGCCACACCAAGCACGTTCCTACCTCAGAGCCTTTGCACATGCTGTTCCCTGTGCCCGGAACACTCTTGCCCCAGATATCCATTTCCTCCCTTCTGCTCAAATGTTTTTTCCCTAACCACCATCTCACTCTTCATTGTGCTACCTCACATGATATTATGACACTTGTTTATCCATAGACTGTCTTCTCCACAGGATTATAAACTTCAAGAGGCTCAGGACCTTGTCAAGATGTTCACCATTATTTCCCCTGTGTTTAGAGCAGCACTTTCACATAGGGCTAACAATATGTTTTTATTAACATTTATGTGTTTATTTTTGAGACAGGGTCTTTGCTCTGTTGCTTAGGCTGGAGTGCAGTGGTGTGATCATGTCTCACTGCAGCCTCAACTTTCCAGGCTCAGGTGATCCTCCCATCTCAGCCTCCCAAGTAGCCAGGACCACAGGCATGCACCACCATGCCTGGCTAATTAACAATATGTTGAGTGAATCAATTAATGAATGGGTGTCACCACCCCCAGCACCACCCCACCCCCATCCTGCCTCCTCCTCATCCCTCACTAACTTTGGCAAAGGGGATGGAAGGAAATGCATGATGTCAAGACCCCATAATTCTTTCTGGTGCCCCCAAACTTTCCCAACACATTGGTCAGGAGCAGGTCTTCCTTCCTTCTTTCCCCTTCCTTCCTTCCTTCCTTCCCTCCTTTCTCTCTCTTTCTCTCTGTCTTTCTTTCTTCCTTTCTTTCTTCTTTCATTCTGCCTATCTTTTTCCTGCAGTAGGGAGCAGGCTTTAAATAGCCATGGAGAGGGTGGGAACATGTCAGCTTCTAAAGGATGTGCGTGTCTGGGACACAGAGGGAAACACCTCCTTGCTTGGTATTGGGGCCCAGGCACAGAGGTGACACTGAGTCCCAGCTTGTGTGCCACCAGGACTGTGAAGAGATGGAAACAGGTTATGTAAGTACTTTTGTGTTTGTTGTGGTTATCTGATTCACAGGCAGAGCTGAGCCATACTAACACATGACATTAGGTGACACACAGCCGTTGCCATCGCGTGAGCCCAGTGACTGTTTTCTGTCTGGGGTTATACCCACTCCTCTAGCTCAGCATCACCACCCACAGGCTACCACCACTGCTTCTGCTGCATCTATAAACTATCTGTACTATTTTTTACTCAGCTTTTAAAATGGACTCATTTTTATGACTTGAATACATGCATTTCAAAAGGATACTAGGAGCTAAGGAAGACCAACAGACAGGTGTGACAAGCAGGACAAACCTGGCCCCCAAGAAATGGCCGCGTGCAGAGGTCGAAGGCAGAGGCCTGAAGGGAGAGGAAGGCAGGAGCCGCCCACTGGGTGAGGGAGTCCCGGTCCCAAGGGGCTGAGCAGAGGGAAGGAGGAAGGGGGAGTAGGTGAGGTCCTAGGACTCTGGGAATCTCATGGGACTTCCAGGCCTGGGGAGACTGGGAGTGGAGAGTGGGGTGAGGGAGCTAATTGTGACGTGTTTTTGGTGCGTGTGGGGTTCAGGTGAGGCGAGGATGTGACTGAGACAGAGGGCACAGCCTCAGGGCAGAACCAGGGGAACCAGAGGAGGTGTGGGGGAACAAAAGTGGGATGCAGTTTAGGGAAGGAGTACTGAGGAGTTGGGTACAGCGAGAGCCACAGCGCAGAAAAGGACCCTAAAGAGTGAAGCACGGCCGGGCGCGGTGGCTCACGCCTGTAATCCCAGCACTTTGGGAGGGCAAGGCGGGAGGATCACGAGGTCAGGAGATCGAGACCATCCTGGCTAACACGGTGAAACCCAGTCCCTACTAAAAAAAATATAAAAAATTAGCCTGGCGTGGTGGCGGGCAACTGTAGTCCCAGCTACTCGGGAGGCTGGGGCAGGAGAATGGTGTGAACCTGGGAGGTGGAGCTTGCAGTGAGCCGAGACTGCGCCACTGCACTCCAGCCTGGGTGACAGAGCAAGACTCCGTCTCAAAAACAAACAAACAAACAAACAAAAACAGTGAAGCACTTTGGAAGGCCGAGGCGGGAAGATCCCTTGAGCCCAGGAGTTCAAGACCAGCCTGAGGAACATAGTGAGATCCCATCTCTACAAAAAATATTATAAAAATTAGCCTGGTGTGGTGACATGCTCCTGTTGTCCCAGCTACTTAGGAGGCTGAGCTGGGAGGATTGCTTGAGCCTGAGAGGGCGAGGCTGCAGTGAGCCTGGATGACTAACTACTAGCCTGGGCTACAGAGCAAGATTCTGTCTCAACAAGAGAAAAAAAAAGAGTGAAGGGGAGCAGGGCTGGGGGCAGGCCCGTGACAAAGTGGAGACTCTGGTGGGTGAGGGTGTCGAGGAGGGACCGCCCTGTGTGAGCCAGAAACGGGTTTGGAGGGAAGGGGAGTGAGGAACGGAGTGGGTGCTGGTTGGGTGTCCCACCACCCCAGGCAGGGCTGGCTGGGGACTGGACAGTGAGTATGATGGTCTCTGCTGGCAGCTTCTCTGTCGCCCACATGCCACCTGAAGTCATCTATGTATACACTCCTGCTCTAAAGCAAGGAACATCAGTCCACCTAGGACTTTGGAGGTCAGAAAGACAGAAACATATTCTACTACCCTATTGGGGAGATAGAGTTCCTGGGAGCCTTGGTGACTAAGAAGCATGTTAAGGAATGAAAAAAAACTCAAGGAAGACCAGAAAGGCAAACTGTCATACAGAGATCTGTAAAAGCAAGAAATAACCGCGAAGACACAATGCTGGGTTTTGGATTTTAGAGTCGTCTGCAGAATCACATCGATTATGGTGCACGAGAAATTGCACAGACACAGGAAGCCCTCTAAGGTGGTGGTGCTCCCGAGTCACTACTCTGGCCAATGGGATGGGCCTTATTCAGGTGGATGGGGCTTTCAAGCACTGAGAGGGTAGGGAGTTAGGTTCTCTGTTTCTAAAGGCACTTGGGGCGGGTGGAAGGCATTGATTGTTTATCTGCCTGGTTAGTTGCCCCTCTCCTTCTGGGAACTGCCCCTCCTCCACTCCAATACGGATCCCCCTGGGGAGCTGCCCTGTTCTTATGCGGCCTTTGCCACCACGGTCATGGTTGATGAGGCTGGGAATGGGCATCTGGGAGTTTGTATTTAAGACACAAAGGGCAGCTTCTCTCGGGCAGCTGAAGCTGTCATGAGGTGTAATGCCAGGGCTGCTGGCTGCCATGTTTTCTGACAAATGGAGAAACTAGCCTTTAGGAAGAGAGAAAATGCAAGCTGGCCTGCAGGGAACATGGGAGAAGCCGAGCATCCTGAATGTGTTGCAGTCCTTGGTTCTCTCTGCTCTTCTGCTACTTGACCACCAACTCCTCTTGAGGTCTCTGAGAACCTCACCTCCCCCAGCCGCCGATGTTCTTCAGATGTACTATCTCTGAGCTTAGGCTGATGAAAGCTGAGCGTCTGTCATTTGCAATCAACTCAGCAGTGAAAAGAAAAAAAAAACCTGGGGGTACAGTCAGCACTTTCGGTTTTCTCATCTGAGACACTAGAACACACTTTCAGGGACTACTCGGGGCCCAGGGAGGCTGATGGCATCAGGGGGACTTCACACAACTACTGACTTAAGCTTAAAGGGAACCCATAACTATCTGGGTTTTATTTTGGAATTGTTTGTTTATTTCTAATTCTTCTGTTCACAGAATTCAGGGGAACCTGAGCCAAGTGTCCTACCTGTAACCTTGAGGAGGCACCATGCCAAGGAGTGAAAGATGAGGTGAGGAACTCAGGACGCCTTACTTTCCATAGAATTTGATGATTGGATTTTCATGGGAATTCACACTCTGAATTGGAAGTAGGTTCTCTGGCCTCTTGATCTTGTGGTGACAGAGGTCACTGTAGGGAAGGGGTAGAAGGAAGAATAAAGGAATGAGGAGGAAGAGAAGAGCAGGAGGCACGGGTACACAGGCACCTGTCCTTGACAGCCTCGCTTCCCTCTGCGGAAGATCTCAATGTCGAAGCTGGGATTCTCCCTCCAGATGGCAGCTCCATCTGCCCAGCTGGTCACATCTGAAACCCAGGCAGGGCATTCTCCTGACCCCTCCCTCTCCATCCTCCTGCAATTCCAGTCTAGTCCACCCCCATCTACCCCTGCTCACTTCTCTCCATTGTCTTGCCATTGCCCTCATTCAGTTCACAAATTCCATTCTCACCTGAGTGACCATAGCAGCCTCCTAAGAGGGCCATCCCCACCCAAACTGGATTTGCCACAAGCCCAGCTGGAGCAGTCTGTACAGGAGACAAATCTGACAATGTCCTTCATCTGCTTAAAACCTCCCAACGGCTCCCCTTTGCTCCCAGGATAAAGTTAACAAACAAAAACAGAAAAGCCCTCAATAAGGCCCGTGCAATCTGGCTGCTGCCTCTCTCTCCAACCACGTTGGCTTTGCTTCTCACCCTCACTCTGCTCCAGCCTCATTGGCTTTGTGGCTTAAAAGGGCCCTGCTCCCTCCTGGTTCAGGGCCTTGCACATTCTGTTCCCTCTTCCTGGAAAGCCCTTCCCCCCTCTTTCACCAAGTTAAGTCTCACTTTTATTTTATTTTTATTTTTATTTTTTGAGATGGAGTCACTCTGTCACCCAGGCTGGAGTGCAGTGGCATGCTCTTGGCTCACTGCAACCTCTGCCTCCCAGGTTCAAGCGATCCTCCTGCCTCAGCCTCCAAAGTAGCTGGGACTACAGGCACCTGCCACCATGCATGGCTAATTTTTTTTGTATTTTTAGTAGAGACCGAGTTTCACCATGTTGGCCAGGCTGGTCTCGAACTCCTGGCCTCAGGTGATCCAGCCCCCTCAGTCTCCCAAAGTCCTGGGATTACAAGCATGAGCCATAAGTCTAACTTTTTAAAAACGTATTGCTTAAGATCCCACTCATCTGTTCCATCTATATAAATTCTTACAAATAACCCTCATAGCACTTATAATTTTACTTATGTGTGTATGTAAGTGTTTGATTGATGTTTGTCCTCTCAAGGACACTGTAAGCTCCATGAAGGTAGGGAGGGACCACGTTTGTTTTGCTCACTCCTAGGATCTTCAGCACCTGCCACAGGGCCTGGCTAAGTCTCATCTATCCCTCAAGATCCCGACCTAGCATCTCTCTGAGAAGCCCCCCTTGACTCTAAGCTTTGGGAGTCCCATGAACCAGCATGGACCACACATTTATTGTACCACCTGGCAATGATCTGCTCACATAACTGTCTCACCACTACTTTGTGGATTCTTGGAGGGCAAGAGCCTCATCTTTGTTGAATTTGTTTCCTTTACACCCAGCACAGTGCCTGGCCTGCAGGAGATCAATGGTGGGTAAATGAATGACTCTGTTAAGACAGTCCCCTGGGCCCAGGTATTATACCCTGTACATCAAGGGGCTGGCTGAGATGACTTTGTGTGTCCTTTCTCTGTCACTGTGGCTCCAGCATTGCATAACCCTGCCCAGCCAGCACCCCTCTGCTTTGTCATGCCATGTGCCTTTAACTGTTGCCCTGGCAATCAACAAATCTTGCTGCTACCCCCGTTTCTCTATTCCATTATGAAAAGGGAGCCTCACACCTCCGGGCTTTCTATAGATTATGCAAAAAGACAAGCCATTTTAATGTCTCCTTCCTCTTTGACTCATGTTTTTTAGTTAGCTCTTTCTCATATTTATGGGGCAACTTTTTTTTTTGGTTTTCTAATTATTAAGAAGCATTTAAAATATAGAACAGGTATGAAGAATAACACAGTGGCCACCCATGATCACACCCAAGGACATGCAGCTGAGGATACAAAATGTGACCCACGTACAGGGACCTTGTCTTTAGAGGAGGATTGATACCATCTGAGGCCTTTCCAGATGTACTCATGTACTTCCAGGGAACTGAAATGTCTATTTCAAACCATGTGTCCCGGGCAGAGCCCAGCATCTACATGTCCAGCTAGGAGGCCTTTCTTCTAGACTCTCGTCTGAGAAAAATGGATCTTCTTCTTCTCTGAATCCTCAGCAGCCCCTGAGCACATTCCCTTCTAGGACAGACTTGGAGACTCTGAGCTGGGAGGGCCCTGGAGGAGAAGAAATCTAGACTCCCCCATGGCACAGGAATGCCCTCCCAACTTTCCCACCCATGGGCTCTGTGAGGTGTGGCAGTGGGGCCCAAACACCACAGGGGACACATTCCAGAAAAGAGAAAGGAAGACACAATCAACCAAGGAGATATGAGCATCCGGAACAAGCTGGACATGTTTTTATTTCTTGTGAGGCCACCTAGAAATAGGACTCATCTAGGAAATGCATCCAAAAAGTCAATGCAGTCAGGCCTTCATTTTCCTTCTGCGGGCCAGACGCGACACTAGAGGTTGGGATTTGAAGATGAATAGGCCATCATTTCTAAGCTTGAGGAGCGCACACTGAGTCGTTAACTTGAAGAAGTAAACAAACATTTATGAAACTGTGTGACAGGAGCTACCACAAAGCTGCACATGCAGGGATGGAAAGAAATCTCTGAGTCACACTTAGGGCATGGGGGAAGGCTTCCTGGAGGAGGGGACGCTTGCCCTGCATTGTGAAGCACGCTTATGGGGAGCTGCAGGTGGCTCCACCTGTCTGGAGCAAAAGGTGGGGAGTGGACAGTGGTGGGAGATGTGGCCAGAACAACATCACAAAGACCTTGTGTGCAGAGCTGAGGAGTGCTTGCCTCTAGTGGCAGATTCCTGGTTTCCTCAGCCTTAACCTCTCACCCTCTCTAGGTTTCCTTCCTTGTTTTGGTGGCCACTGGAGGGTTCAAGGCAGGGAGTGACCTGAAGAGAACTGGAAAATCCTGTGAGGCGACATCCGGCTGAACTGGAAGGAGCGAGAACAACGAGGAGGCAGCCGTGGGTTGGAGGTGAGAAGCCAGGAGAGGCTGCAGCAGGGTGGTGGCAGTGAGAAAGGACAGGAGGGAAGACTGTAAGGAAAGAAGCATCTGTGACACTGAGAGTGAGTGAAGGGGGATCTGGGGAATCCTTAGTCTTCAGGCTTGGCTCACTGGGAGCTAGTGGTGCGCTTTGTCGACAGAGAGAACTCCAGAGAAGTAGACCTTGGCACAGGTCTTTGGATGATGGGACGGAAGTTGAGTTGTAAGTTGTAGGGATAAGAGCCCACAGACTCTATAAGTATGAAAGACGTTAGAAGCAAAAAGAAGGCCAGGGAATGGTCAAACAAGACTAGGATGTGGGGAATAGGTCCTCTGACTACACACACAATTTCTCTGAGGAGACGCCCTAATGGACTTTGGAGGACATAGCTTGGCTGAAGAGGCATCCCTGAGGTTCCAGAGTTGAAGTCTTGGGTGTCCATCATAGCACCAACAGTATAAACTCTAGGACAAGTTGACCACACTTTGAGACATCACCTATGGGCTCCAGTGAAACAGCTGGAGCTCGGTTAAATTTGATTCCATTTTTTAATTTTAGGATTTTTTTTAAGTTCAAAAAAATTAGTTGGCTGGGCACAGTGGCTCACGCCTGTAATCCCAGCACTTTGGGAGGCTGAGGTAGGCAGGCAGATCACGAGGTCAGGAGATCAAGACCATCCTGGCTAATACAGTGAAACCCCGTCTCTACAACGAAATACAAAAAATTAGCCAGGCATGGTAGCGTGCGCCTGTAGTCTCAGCTACTCGGGAGGCTGAGGCAGGAGAATCGCTTGAACCTGGGAGGCAGAGGTTGCAATAAGCCAAGATCGCACCACCGCACTCCAGCCTGGGCGACAGAGCAAGACTCCTTCTCAAAAAAAAGAAAAAAGAAAAAATATTAGTTATACATAGTTCAAACAATAAAATAATCATGTATGAAACATATCAGTTGTGTACCCCCCTTTCCTGCGCTCCAGAGGCAAGTACTTCCAACTCTTCTCAATTCTTTTGGTACTTAACCACCATAGCTGTAAGTGCCACGGGTTTATTAACACTTCCGGACTTTTTCCATGTTAGGCATTTGCATGCCATAGCCTTTTCTATACGGCAGACAAATCGCATGATTGGAGTCTAGATTCCTTCTCCTCCGGGGTCTGCTCAGAGATTCTCCAAGTTTGTCCTTGAAGGGAATGTGCTTCTGCCAAAACCCCAGGGAAGAAAACCAGCTCTCCTTGTTTTTAGTTTTTGGTTTTTGTTTCTGCTTTTGATAGAGACAGGGTCTAGCTATGTTCCCCAGCCTGGTCTCGAACTCCCGAGCTCAAGCAATCCACCATCGTCGGCATCCCAAAGGGCTGGGATTACAGGTGTGAGCCACCGTGCCCGGCCCCATTCTCCTTGTTTAACTGTTTACCCCACCCTCATCTCAACCCTGCACAGGTGCCCGCTTCCCACTCCCCCATCCTGCTAACTGTGTTATATCATAGCTTTAGATACATCAACTCCCAGTGTTCACTTTATTAGGATTGTGTTCATGCTATGCAAATCAAATCACTTAGGGTATATCATGATTATTTTTTCCTTTTCCTCCATAGTTTGTTTATTCCACTGGAGTTAATAATGCTTCCTTTTCCCCATTTACTTAGTTATATTTATGGTACTTATCATTAGTCCAACCCCTAATCTTCCCCCTATTGTGTAAACCTCTCAATATTTTCAAACATGATTCTTTCAGTGTGACTTTCTTGAAGAACTCTTCCTTGGAGTCTTCAAAGCAGCTTCAGCCTGAGTATGCTGCTTTCTTTTTTTTTCTTTTTTCTTTTTTTTGGGGGGACAAAGTCTTGCTCTTGTCCCCCCAGCTGGAGTGCGATGGCACGATCTCGGCTCATTGCAACCTCTGCCTCCTGGGTTCAAGCGATTCTCCTGCCTCAGCCTCCTGAGTAACTGGGATTACAGGTGCCTGCCACCACGCCCGGCTAATTTTTGTATTTTTAGTAGAGATGGGGTTTCACCATGTTGGCCAGGCCGATCTAGAACTCCTGACCTCAGGTGATCCACCCGCCTCAGCCTCCCAAAGTGCTGGGATTACAGGCATGAGCCACCACGACCAGCCGAGTACACTGCTTTTTATGCCTGGTAGATAGCTGTCTACCCAGGAGTTTCCTTTAGCTGGGTGATTCCCATTGTTTGCCTTTTGTGGCGGATTCCCGGTTTCCTCAGCCTTAACCTCTTCCCCTCTCTAGGTTTCCTTCCTTGTTTTGGTGGAGCACATCCTTCAGCAGCTTCCTGAGAGAGAAGATAAGGCAGTATCATTTGTTGTTTCACTCTCTTCTCAAACTGATTTTTTGGTAGTTTGGATATAGCATTCTAGGTAAGAAACGGTTTTTCTTCAGAAGGCATTGTTCCACTGACTTCAAATTTCCAGGCTTGAGGCAACTGTGTTGATATTTTGTATCTGGTTTTTTTTTTTTAACTTTTTCTGATTTTTTAAAATCTCTGAAATCCTGTTGGATCTCCTCTTTGTCTCCAGTTTTGTAAAATTTCATGGTGATATGCAGTACAACTCAATTCTACAGATACGTATTGAGAGCGTGTGTTACATAGTTTATCTCACTAAACACTCCAAAATATACAAAAATATCCACAAGTCCTGAGACAGCTAGAAATCTGAGGGAAGTGGGGGAGATAAGGCAAACAGAATATTGATGAGCATGTAGTATCACACATATAAATTATGCATGTAAAACTTGTAAGGGCAACATTTTCACAAATTCCAAGTGTTGATATTTTTAAGAAAGAATAATGCCGGCTCCCAACCTGATTCATTCTGTTAGAAATTTGGCCTTCCCCTGCACTCAACAAACTCCTTACCTCTTAAATCTATAGCTCTGTTTGGCTAGTAGTAAGCTATAAATAAGAGGGTGATGTTTTGGCTTTGAATCCAGGAGTTGCTGATAGCCTCCAGTGGGCTGACTTAACTATCATTCTGCAAGAGGCCACACAAGCTTGAGTTCAATGCCAGAGGTTCGTTCCCTCAAGCTTCCTAAGGTGTCAGTTGGAATAGAGCCAGGAACCAGGAACCAGAGCCCCCTTTCAGGAAGCAATCCCTAAAATGTATTTCTCCTTACCCTTCAAAGTGTACCTATAGGTACTGATAGATAGAACATCATAAAGATAGATATGCTACATAGTAAGAACATCATAAAGATAGATATGCTACATAGTAAGCTGCTCAATACATGTTTTTTCAATGGGATGAATACAGAATATTTCTCTCTATGTAGTATCTACCCAATATTTATAGAGATGACCCCAACACCCTACCCCCCACATTAGGAATCAGCCAAGAGTCATCCCTACCCTGGTGGCTCCCAGAATATGATCATTATTATTGAAAACAGTTTATGCATATTAGCTTGTTTAATTCTCACAGCAATTCTATGAGGCAGGTTTTTGTTTGTTTTGTTTTTTTGTTTTTGAGACAGAGTCTCGCTCTGTCTCTCAGGCTGGAATGCAGTAGTGCCATCTCAGCTCACTGCAGCCTCTGCCTCCCAGGTTCAAGTGATTCTCCTGCCTCAGCCTCCCAAGTAGCTGAGATTACAGGCATGTGCCACCACACCTGGCTAATTTTTGTATTTTTAGTAGAGACGGGGTTTCACCATGTTGGCCAGGGTGGTCTTGAACTCCTGACCTCAAGTGATCCACCCATCTCGGCATCCCGAAGTGCTGAGATTACAAGTGTGAGCCACCGTGCCAGGCTGGAGGCAGGTATTTTTAATCCTTATTTGATAGATTCAGAAACTGAAGAATAGAGAGGTCAAGTGACTTGCTCAAGATACCAAAGCTAAGAATGACAAAACAGAGCTTCAAGTCTAAGCAGACCCAACCCAGATCTCACAACAGATCCAGCTCGTTCCACCACAAAAGCAATTCCAAATCTCACTTGAATCCCAGGTTAGACCCCTTGGAATCTCTCACCAAGCTGAAGGGCTGCCCCAGAAGAGCTCATGGGAAAGGCCACGTGGAAGGAGCACCCATTTTATTGCTGCTTGTTCTGATGCTATTTCACTATAGGACGCTGAGTAACACACCCGCCTCTCCAGGCCTCAGTTTCCTTATCTGTAAAATGAAGTTAAGAATATATTATGAAGAGTTTTGGAAGAGGCCCATGATGACCGAGGGAAAAGAAGCAGTGAGAGGTCTCAGAAGGCCTTCTAAAAGAACAGAGTTCTGTGCTCCCTGGAGAATGATGGGAAACACAGGAGGAATAGTGACAATACGAGATGTTAAATTACTGTAGAAATTCTTAGATCTGAGTCTGAACTCCCTCTCCAAATATTCCATTATAATCCAAGACTCTATAGTTTCTACCAAAAAGTAGGTGCCTTCAAGCAGGGAGTGATCATTTGAATCTAGTTCTCTCCTGGGAATCAGTGGTTCTAACTTGGCTGCACGTTTGGATGACCAGCGGAGCTTGTGACATGCAGATGTTCAGGTCCACCCTCGGAGATCGCTAAATGGGGTGTTGCCCGAACACTTGGGATATTAAGAGTTTCTTCATATGATTCTAATGTGCAGACAAAATGGAGAGCCACTTCCCAGAGCTTCAAGTTATTCATTTTCTGGTCTGAAGTTTAACAAAGAAAAAAAAAATAAAGAAGCAGTGATGCCCAGTAGCTCTCAAAATTTAATGTGTAAACAAATGAATCTCCTGGGCATCTTGTTAAAATGCAGCTTTCAATTCAGTGGGTCTAGGTTGGGCCTGACAACCTTCTTGGTTGTTTTGTGGTTGCCGTTTTGTTTTTTAAGGCCTTAACACTGGAGGGGATTCTGGCCTTCTAAAAAGCTCCCACAGGTGCCCACGCTGCTAACCACAGACTGTGCTTGAATAGCTAGGCTACAGCTTGAATGATTACAGACTTGAACGAGAATTATGGCTCTTCTTGCCAGCTGGGACCTTCAGAAAGAAGTTACTTCACTTCTCTGAGTCTGGGTTTTCTTGTCTATAAAATTTAGGCCAGCAATAGTAACTTTATCACAGAATTCTTGTGATGCATAAATGAGCTAATGCATTCAATTTGTTTAGCACTGTACAACAAATGTTAGCTTTTTGCTAGGATAGCCAGCATTCGCGGAATGCTTACTATGTGGCAGGAATTTTCTAAGTGCATTCGTGTATTAATTCATTCAAGTCTCAGAACAACACGGTGAGGTAGGTACTATTATTTCATCATTTCCATTTTACAGATGAAGAAACTGAAGCGCAGAGAGGTGGAGTTCCTTGGTCTACAGTGGCACCTCATTGTAGCTAAGCTGGTGTTTGAACTCAGGGAGAATTTGGGCTCCTTACCAGGATCCCTCGCCAAGGACAGAGGTCAGTGCAACGAGTCGAGGGTTTGCCCTTTGAAATGGGCTAGGACCGGCAGGTGGCAGACTAGGGCTGCTTGAGTTCAAAGACCGCTTCCAAGACCAAGCCCGGAGCCAGCTCTGTGCTAAGCGTTCCATCACACAACCGCGGACAGCTTCTTCGGCTTCTTCAAACTCTCCTTTCCCTCCCCCGCACCCTAGGGTCTTCGCCCAGAATCCATCAGGAAAAATAGCCCCACATAACAGGTTCAAATCTAACCTCCCCAAGACAAAACCACGTCCGCAGGGAAAGAAGCGAGTAAAGCGAGTTTTCTGTAACTCCCCTTTAACCCAGGAGCGCAACCAGCCCGGGAAATCTACAAATCTCTCTTTAGTTCAGCAAAGGGCTGGGAGCCTAAGCCAAGGGGGAGAAAGTTGGGGAATCCCTCTTGAATTCCCCAGAACACTTAGGTGGCGCCGGGCTTTGGTGCACGCGCGCAGGGCATGCGGACAGGCACCGGAGAGGCTCTATTTTGGGCATTACTTCGGGAAGGCGGATCTTCTTGCAGGGTCCGCTGATAGCGGGTGGCAAATGAATATGAGGGGCAGTGCAAAGGGTGGGGGTTAACCGGGCGGTTTCCATGGCGCCCGGGGCGTGGGGGAGGAATGCATCCCGCAAGCTGTGGCGAAACAACTGCTCTGCCCGGAGGACCGGGCTCGAGAAGGCAAGAGACACTGGGTCGGGGGTGGAGTGGTGGCGGGGGGGTTGGGGGCGGAAGAAGCCAGGCAGGACGGGGGCGGGGCGGTCACGTGTGCCCGACTGGGCGAGGCCCCAAGCTGGCCCGGGAGAGGACTCTGCGGGCGAAGTGGCTGCGCAAGGAGAGAACTTTTCCTGCACAAGGAACGCCTCGTGGGGAGACCCAAGGCAGGAGCGGTCCGGAGCCGGCTGCGGCGTGTGCGGCCGGCCTTGGGACAGCGATCGCCGCGGGTGGCAACAGAGAGCCCCAAGCAAAAGTGGGAGCAGGAGCTTGGAGGTGAGCACAGGAAGCCCCACTTGAGGCTTTTACGCAGCCTCTAGTCTCTGTTTCTTCTGGAATAGGCAAGTGTCCTTTCAACTCTAAGAGACCAGCAGAGGCCACTGTCCCTTAAGACTGCCGGAGTCCTCACCACTTCTCCAGGATTCCAGAGGAGACTGTGGCGATGGTGAATGAAGGTCCCAACCAGGAAGAGAGCGATGACACCCCTGTGCCGGAGTCCGCACTCCAAGCGGACCCCAGCGTCTCGGTCCATCCCAGCGTCTCGGTCCATCCCAGCGTCTCCATCAACCCCAGCGTCTCTGTCCACCCCAGCAGTTCGGCCCACCCCAGTGCCTTAGCCCAACCCAGTGGCTTGGCTCACCCCAGTAGCTCGGGCCCTGAGGACCTCAGCGTGATCAAGGTGAGCAGGCGCCGTTGGGCCGTGGTCCTGGTGTTTAGCTGCTACTCCATGTGCAACTCCTTTCAGTGGATCCAGTACGGCTCCATCAATAACATCTTCATGCACTTCTACGGTGTCAGTGCCTTTGCCATTGACTGGCTGTCCATGTGCTACATGCTGACTTACATCCCTCTGCTCCTGCCAGTGGCTTGGCTGCTGGAGAAGTTCGGCCTGCGCACCATTGCTCTCACTGGCTCGGCTCTCAACTGCCTGGGGGCCTGGGTGAAGCTGGGCAGCCTGAAGCCGCATCTCTTTCCGGTCACCGTGGTGGGCCAGCTCATCTGCTCTGTGGCCCAGGTTTTCATCCTGGGCATGCCCTCCCGCATCGCTTCCGTCTGGTTCGGGGCTAATGAGGTTTCAACAGCCTGCTCCGTGGCTGTCTTTGGCAATCAGGTAGGTAGAACAGTTTGTGAATGTTCCCAGGGGCGTGTGTTAGATTGCACCTAACTATTGGGTGTGGTAGGCTATAATTTGCTGATTGTCCAACAGTGTTTGTGACTCTGGGTGACAGTAACTGGGTGTGACAGGCAGTGATTGTGATGCTGTAAGAGAGGCGGGAAACAAAAGCAGGGGGACCTGCTCTTTCATCCACAGTTGCTCTTGCCCCAGCCAAAAGCATGCTTCTAGAACATACTATACCTTCGCTGTGTCGTTCTCGAACCTGTGTCAGTCCACCAACTTAGACCTGTAATTTCAGGAATGCTCTTCTGTCTGGCAGCAGCCCCTGGGCATCAGACTATTCTGGTGTCATCAGAACTTGGCAGTGCTTTCAGTTGGACCAACCAGCTTTCCTAGAGTGCAGTATCTCCTCTACTGCATAGAATTGCAAAGCCATGCCTGGTGGTGTTTGGCACTGCTTTTACCTTGTTTTACACACAGCTGAAGCCAGGACAGTGGGAGCAGTGCTTTGTGCCAAACTCCTTGCCTGGGATTTAGAGCCAAGTCCAGCAGGATGGAGTAGAAATCTCACTCTGAGTTTCCATGGCCTAGAAAGGGTAGTTCATGTCTTAATCTTTTTCTCTTTCTTTCTTATTGGAAGGAGAAGCTCAAATTCTTTGCATCTCAATGTGGTTATGATCCAGAAAGCTGGGCAGGTTGTGAACCTGAATGCCGTCTCCAAATACTCGAAGCAAATATTTATGGGAATATTTAAAGCAAACGTCCTTTAGCCAGACCACTGCCTCCCAGTCTCGCATCTTTCCAAGCACGTACAGTCCTGGCTGTGTGTTTAACAAAGGATTGGTAATCCTGTCTCACACGTCCATGTGAAGAGACCACCAAACAGGCTTTGTGTGAGCAACAAGGCTGTTTATTTCACCTGGGTGTAAGCAGGCTGAGTCTGAAAAAGGAGTCAGCAAAGGGTGGTGGATTATCATCAGTTCTTATAGGTTTTGGGATAGGTGGTGGAGTTAGGAGCAATGTTTTTCAGACAGGGTGGATCTCAAAGTACATTCTCAAGGGTGGGGAGAATTACAAAGAGCCTTCTTAAGGGTGGGGGAAATTACAAAGTACATTGATCAATTAGGGTGGGGCGAAACAAATCACAATGGTGGAATGAAATCAGTTAAGGCTATTTTCACTTTTTTTGTGGATCTTCAGTTGCTTCAGGCAATCTGGATTGCCTGAAGCATGCAGGTCACAGGGGATAGGATGGCTTAGCTTGGGCTCAGAGGCCTGACATTCCTGTCTTCTTATATTAATAAGAAAAGCAAAACAAAATAGTGAAGTGTTGGAGCAGCGAAAAATTTTGGGGGTGGTATGGAGAGATAATGGGAGATGTTTCTCAGGACTGCTTCGAGCGGGATTAGGGGCAGCGTGGGAACCTACAGTGGGAGAGACTCAGCTGAAGAACGGTTTTGGGGTAAGGGGTGATACTGTGGGGTTGTTAGAAGAAACATTGGTCGTATAGAATGATTGGTGATGGCCTGGATGCGGTTTTGTATGAATTGAGAAACTAAACGGAAGACACAAGGTCTGAAAAAGAGAAGGAGAAAAACAGGTATTAAAGGACTAAGAATTGGGAGGACCTAGGACATCTAATTAGAGAGTGTCCAAAGGGGTCCAAGGGGATTTAGCATAATTACTTGTTTGTTTGGTGAGTTTTTGGGCTCTATTCTTGACAGAGTCCTCTTTTTTAAGTTTGAAGCTGAGCTTGGTGAGGTGTGTTTTTAAAAGACCGTTAGTCCATTCTACCTTTCTTGAAGATTGAGGACGGTAAGGGGTATGAAGGTTTTACTGAATACCAAGAGCCTGAGAAACTGCTTGGGTGATTCCACTAGTAAAGGCTGGTCCGTTATTGGACTGTATAGAGGTGGGAAGGCCAAACTGAGGAATTATGTCTGACAGAAGGGAAGAAATGACCGCAGTGGCCTTCTCAGACCCTGTGGGAAAGGCCTCTACCCATCCAGTGAAAGTGTCTACCCAGACCAAGAGGTATTTTAGTTTCCTGACTCGGGGCATGTGAGTAAAGTCAATTTGCCAGTCCTGGGCGGGGGCAAATCCCCAAGCTTGATATGTAGGGAAGGGAGGGGGCCTGAACAATCCCTGAGGAGTAGTAGAATAGCAAATGGAACACTGAGAAGTGATTTCCTTTAGGATAGATTTCCATGATGGAAAGGAAATGAGAGGTTCTAAGAGGCGGGAACCCACATGGAAGAGGTTATGAAATGACAACAGAATAGAATGGGCCTGTGAGGCTGAAAGGAGATATTTTCCTTGGTCCAAGAACCGTTTGCCTTGTGTGGGAAGAGATTGGTAGGTTGAAGTTTCAGTGGGAGAGTAGGTGGGAGTGACCGATGAGAAGGAGAAAAACTGGCCGTGAGGGACAGAAGTTGTAATGCTAGCTGCTTCTTTAGCTACCATATCAGCATAAGCATTGCCCTGAGTGATGAGATCTGATGCCTTTTGATGGCCCTTGCAGTGTATGACTCCAGCTTCCTTTGGAAGTAAAGCAGCCTTGAGAAGAGTTTTTATTAAGGAGGCATTAATGATGGAGGACCCTTGCATAGTGAGGAAACCTCTTTCAGCCCATATAACAGCATGGTGGTGTAGGATATGGAAGGCCTATTTAGAGTCAGTATAAATATTGACATGTAGTCCCTTCGCAAGAGTGAGGGCTCGAGTTAAGGCAATGAGTTTGGCTTGCTGAGAGGTAGTGGAGGGGGGCAGAAAGTATATGCATCAGGTGTGAGGAAGAAAATAGATTTTGGAAGTTATGAGAACTGTAGAGAGTGAGTTGAGCATAGTTTGTGATTTTGAGGGCCTCTAAAAGTATTAGGGCAGTGGCGGCTGCCACACGGAGACATGATGGCCAGCCTAAAACAGTAAGGTCAAGTTGTTTGGACAGAAAGGCTACAGGGTGTGGTCCCGGCTGTTGTGTAAGAATTTTGATGGCACAGCCCTGTACTTTGGCTGTGTGTTATGAAAAGGGTTGGGATGAGTTAGGGAGATCTTGTGTGGGGGCAGCTTCTAGGGCTGTTTTTAAGGAACGGAAAGAGGAGTGGCGAAAGGATTTAGGATCTATGGGGTCAGCTAGGTTTGCTTTTGTGAGTTTATAAAATGGTTTAGTCAGGATGGTAAAACTAGGTATCCAAAGGCGGAAGTACCTAACCATGCCTAGGAAGGAAAGAAGTTGTTTTGTAGAAGGTGTTGGGGTTTGGGAGATTAGCTGGACACGATCAGCAGGGAGAGCACATTGTTTTCATTAAGAATTATGCCAAGATAGGTAACAGATGAAGACGAAGTTTGGGCTTGACTGAAGTAATGGGCGCTGTCCTTGAAGCCTTGTGGCAGTACAGCCCAGATAAGTTGCTGAGGCTGATGGGCATCAGGGTCAGTCCAAGTGAAAGCGAAGAGAGGCTGGGATGAAGGGTGCAAAGGAATAGTAAAGAAAGCATGTTTGAGATCCAGAACAGAATAATCGGTTATGGAGGGGTTGTGGAGGGAGGCATTGAGGATAGGAGAGTATATGGCTTTGGCACCACGGACTGGATAGACAAGACAATTTGGTTGATAAGGCGCAGATCCTGAACCAACCTGGAAGGCTTGTCCGGTTTTTGGACAGGTGAAATGGCGGAATTGTAGGGAGAGTTTATAGGCTTTAAAAGGCCATGCTGTAACAAGCGAGTGATAACAGGCTTTAATCCTTTTAAAGCATGCTGTGGGATGGGATATTGGTGTTGAGTGGGGTAAGAGTGATTAGATTTTAATGGGATAGTAATGGGCTCGTGATCGGTTGCCAGGGAGAAAGTAGAGGTATCCCATACTTGTGGGTTAAGGTGGGGGGATACGAGAGGAAGACGCGAAGGAGGCTTTGAACTGGGGAAAAGGGCAGGAATGAGGTGTGGCTGTAGCCTAGGAATAGTCAGGGAAGCATATAATTTAGTTAAAATGCCTCGGACCTAATAAGGGAACTGGGCAGGTGGGGATAACTAAAAAGGAGTGCATAAAGGAATGTTGTCCAAGTTGGCACCAGAGCTGGGGAGTTTTAAGAGGTTTAGAAGCCTGGCCGTCAATACCCACAACAGTTATGGAGGCAAGGGAAACAGGCCCTTGAAAAGAAGGTAATGTGGAATTGGTAGCCTCCATATTGATTAAGAAGGGGATGGACTTGCCCTCCACTGTAAGAGTTACCTGAAGCTCAGTGTCTGTGACGGTCCAGGGGGCTTCCGAGGCGATTGGGCAGCGTCAGTCTTCAGCTGCTAAGCCGAGGAGATCTGGGAAGGAGTTGGCCAAGGAACATTGGGTTTGGGCTCCAGGGGCTTTAGGAGTGGCCGCGATGTGAGTCGGACAGTCCGACCTCCACTGGGGGCCCGCACAGATGGCACGGCTTAGGAGGAATCCCGGGCTGCGGGCATTCTGAGGCCCAGTGGCCAGGCTTCTGGCATTCGAAGCAAGGTCCACAAGGATGTTTTGAAGGTGCCCCTGGGAGCTGTGGCTTGGATGTTCTGAAGGTTTTGTATGCTGGAGACGTGGTTGTGGGCTGTCTTACAGCAGAGGCAAGTAGCTGTAACTCAGAAATGTGTTACTGTCTGGCTACCTCCTATTATTGTACACCTTGAAGGCGAGGTTGATTAATTCCTGTTGTGGGGTTTGAGGGCCGGATTCCAATTTTTGAAGCTTTTTTCTAACATCAGGAGCTGACTGGGTGATAAAATGCATATTGAGAATAAGGCGCCTTCCGGCCCCTCTGGGTCTAGGGCGGTAAAGCGTCTAAGGGTTGCTGCCAAGCGGGCCATGAACTGGGCTGGGTTTTCGTCTTTACCTCGGGTAGTTTCTCTAAGTTTGTCATAATTAACAGCTTCGTAAGCTGCCTTTTTAAGCCCTTCAACTAGGCAGGAAACCATGTAATCTCACCTATCTATACCTGGGGAATCTGCCTGAAAGTTCCACTGGGGGTCCTCTTGGGGAACTGCTCTAATGCTTCCTGGAGGTCTGGCTCGTGAAGCCGGCAGTTATCAGCGTGAGATTGGGCTAGAGAAAAAACTCTTTCCCGTTCATCTGGGGAGAGGGTAGAAGTCAGGATGACATTTAAGTCACTCCAGGTTAAATTATAGGACAGAGTTAGATATTTGAATTCCTGTATATATTTAGTAGGGTCTGACAAGAAAGAGCCTAAATGCTGGCTGATTTGGGAAAGGTCTGATAGGCACATGTACCCTGACTATGCCTTTAGCTCCAGCCACCTCTTTAAGAGGAAATTGTTGGGCAGGTGGGGGAGGGCTAGTCGCTGAACGAAAACTGTAAACCAGACAGTGTGTGAGGAGGGGAGGTGATAGAAAGATTATAGGGTGGGGGAGCAGAGGCTGAGGAGAAATTGGGGCCTGGCTCAGCCTGGCGAGGAGCAGCCTGGGGAGAAGGGGAGAGATCAGATGAGTCTGTAGAAAAGGAGAATTCAAAAGACTCAGAGCTTGGGGTGAGACTGAAGGAACAGACAGGAGAGAAAGAAGAAAGATGTGGGATGAGTCGCATGGGAGCAGAGACTAGGGAGGGACTAATGTGTAAAAGAATGCCTGGATGTCAGGCACCTCAGACCATTTGCCCATTTTTCGACAAAAATTATCTAGATCTTGTAGGATGGACAGATCGAAAGTGCCATTCTCTGGTCACTTGAAACTACTGTCAAGTTTGTATTGGGGCCAAGCGGGATTGCAGAAGAAAATAAGGCTAACTTTTAGGTCAGGTGTGAGTTGAAGAGGTTTTAAGTTCTTGAGAACACAGGCTAAGGGAGAAGAAGGAGGAATGGAGGGTGGAAGGTTGCCCATAGTGAAGGAGGCAAGTTTAAAGAGAAGGGTAGAGACACAGAGAAGGGGGTGGGGAGCAGCCCTGGGCTGTAATGTGGGTGAGCAGCCAAAGCAGGTGTCCCCGCAATTGACTTGCCACCAAGGGAATGTGGGTGAATGACCAAGGCAGGCGTCCCCGCGGTGGTCAGACACCAATGGAGTGTGGGTGAATTATCAGGCAGGCGTCCCCGCAATGATTAAACACCAAGGGAAGGCTGCCTTCCCGAGTCCATGACCGGTGCCGGAGTTTTGGGTCCACGGATAAAATGTGCCTCCTTTATCTCTACTAGAGAGGAAAAAGAACTGGAATTGGAAGGACAGGGAGATTGATGGGTAGCAAGAGAGGAAGATTGAAGGGTAGCAAGAGAGGCTGGAGAAGAGAGTGAAAAGACCGCTTACCCGATTGAAATTGGTGAGATGTTCCTTGGGCTGGTTGGTCTGAGGACCCGAGGTCGTAGGTGGATCTCTTCACAGAGTGAGGGTGAGGACAGGGGACTGGTCTCCTAAAGAAGTCCCTCTGACCTGGGTCTTCGGCACTAAATGTCTCACGCATCCACGTGAAGAGACCACCAAACAGGCTTTGTGTGAGCAACAAGGCTGCTTATTTCACCTGGGTGCAGGCAGGCTGAATCCGAAAAAGGAGTCAGCAAAGGGCGGGAATTATCATTAATTCTTACAGGTTTTGGGATAGGCGGTGGGTTAGGAGCAATGTTTTGCAGACAGTGGGTGGATCTCACAAAGTACATTCTCAAGGGTGGGGAGAATTACAAAGAACCTTCTTAAGGGTGGGGGAGATTACAAAGTACATTGATCAGTTAGGGTGGGGCAGAAACAAATCACAATGATGGAATGTCATCAGTTAAGGCTATTTTCACTTTTGTGGATCTTCAGTTGCTTCAGGCGATCTGGATGTATACGTGCAAGTCAGAGGGGATATGATGGCTTAGCTTGGGCTCAGAGGCCTGACAAATCCCAGTTCTTCTCATTGGACTATTTTCTCCTATCTATTAATTTCATTTAGAAAATGTAACCTTTAATTTAGAAATTTTTCATTTAAAACAGAAACTTTACAAAACTTCTCTAAAGGCAAATTTCCCTTCTGTTCATCTTTACTACCAGGAAGGTAATCACCTTACTTTGACCCTGACCACACAGATCACCATAACGCTTGTACTCCGGTAATTCTGACCTCTCTGTTCAAATGCTTCTTACATACTCCACGGGAGCATTACCTTCTGCTTGCATTAAAATCCAACATTCTTCCTTTCGACAAGCATTTATCTAGTTTTTGCAAGACAGTGTGCTAGGGCTGCAAAGATAATCTTTGCCTTCGAAGACATACTATACCAGGTTTTAAAAAATTGTGCCAGGAGCCAAGATTCAGATTGTATTAAAAAACAAACAAACACACAACAACTGAACAGATCATAGCATAGAGGATTTGTTTTCAGCTAGAGGATTTATTTTCAGTTCTCCATGGGGTTTTTAGCATTTTCTTTACCTAATTGCTATGGGAAAGGCTGAAGAAGGTAAAGGAAGCTAATATCTATTAAATACCCACTATTATGCAAGGTACTTTTTCATCCATTATTTAACTTAATCCTTTCAACAACTCTGTGAGGTTGGTGAAATTGTCCCCATTGTTGCAGGAGAGGGAACTGTGATCCAGATAAATCTTGCAACTTTATCCAGAGTCCTATAACTACTGAGTAGTAAAAGAGAAATTTAAACCCAGTTCTACCTTCAAAGCCACTCTCAGTAGGCCAGTATTACTTGTGCATCAAGCATACATGTAAAAAAAAAAGAAAAGGCAGATTCTGAGGATTTAATTTTTCCCCCCGTCTCCAGGGTTATTGGTGATAGTTTCCAGCAGTTTTGTTTAGAGTTTGAGGGCCTAACACTTGTCTTCTTTTTTGAAGTTGCTGCTAGAGGGCTGATTCTGCCTCTTCTAACCTAGCATGGTCATTGTATTGTCAAGAAGGTGAGGGTGGAGTCTTTAGCAGGAAGAAACCAGTGAATCCAGAGCTGGGATGAGGGAGGGAAGATGAGCCTGGAGAATACAACTGAGGCCCTTCCCTTTTCTTGGTATGCTCTGACCAGTTGCCCCCAGGTAGTAACAGCCTGGAATTTTTAGCAACACTTGTAGCATTGTTTCAAGGGGAAATGAGCTGTGTGGGGTTTTAAGAGATATGCACACATTGTTACTGTGCAAGGGTCAAAAGAAAACCTTGTTTCCTTGGTAGTACTGGATGAGATAGATGCAAGATCTAAAAAAGATATTCGAGGCTGGTCCTAACCCAGGTGAGAGTCCTATAGGATGGAGGTTTGTGAGGGGACTTCGCCAGGACCTTTGGGTAGCTCATAGCACAGTGCAATCTAGAAATAGAATAGGAAAGAATCAGTTTGCTTTTAGAAGTGAATACAGTCACTTTACAGAACCAGTCTTATAGAAACCACAGCTGTCTGTCTAAAATAGCACTGTCCAATAGAAATATAATGCAGACCACAAATGCAAGTCACATGTAACTAAATTTTCTAGCAGCCGCATTAAAGATGTAAATTTTTTTTAAGTAAAAAGAAAAGGTGAAATTATTTTAGTAAATGCCTTAGTTTGTTTTATGCTGCTGTCACAGAATACCACAGACTGGGTAATTTGTAATGAACAGAAATTTATTTAGCTTACAGTTTGAGAGGCTGGGCAGTCCAAGGCCAAGCGACCAGCATCTGGTGATGGCCTTCTTGCTGCGTCATAACATGGTGAATGGCATCTCATGTTCAAGAAAGAGTACAAGAGAGGGCCAAACTGACTTTTATGACAAACCCACCCTCATTTTAATGACATTGATCCATTCATGAAGGTAGAGCCCTCATGACTTAATCACCTCTTAAAGGTCTCATGTCTCAGTAGTGTTACATTGGGAATTAGATTTCCAACACATGAACTTTTGTTGTTGTTATTGTTTTTGTTTTGAGATAGAGTCTCATTCTAGCCACCCAGGCTGGAGTTCACAGACAGCATCTTGGCTCACTGCAATCTCCACTTCCCGATTCAAGCAATTCTGCCTCAGCCTCCAGAGTAACTGGGATTACAGGCACCTGTCACCATGCCCAGAAAATTTTTGTATTTTTAGGAGAGATAGGGTTTCACCATGTTGGCCAGGATGGTCTTGAACTCCTGACCTCAAGTGATCCCCCTGCCTCGGCCTCCCAAAGTGTTTGGATTACAGGCGTGAGCCACTGCACCTGGCCCCCCAACACATGAACTTTAAGGGACACATTCAAACCATAGTATTCTCTCCATGGACCCCAGAATTTTATGTCCTTCTCTTGGACAAAACACATTCATTCTATCCCAATAGCCCTGAAAGTCTTAACTTGTTCCAGCATCAACTCAAATGCCCAAATTCTAGAGTCTCACCTAAATCACATATGAGGGAGACTCAAGGCACCGTTCATGATGAGGCAAATTCCTCTCCACCTCTGAACCTATGAAATTAACAAGAACCAGCCTGGACAACATTTTTTTTTTTAAAAAAAGAAGCTGTGCATGGTTGCACATGCCTGTAGTCCCAGCTACTTGGGAGGCTGAGGTACAAGGATCGCTTGAGCCCAGGAGGTCAAGACTGCAGTGAACCATGTACATGCCACTGCACTCCAGCCTTGGTGACAGAGAGAGAGACCCTGTTTCAAAAACATCCCCCCAAAACTAACAAGTTATATGCTTCCAAAATACAATGGCGGGACAGAGATAGGATAGACATTCACACATACCAAAAAGGAGAAATAGGCAAGAAGAAAAGGGTAACTGGTCCCAATTAAGTCCAAAACTCAACGGGGAAAACAACATTAAGTCTTAAAGCTGGAGAATAATCTTCTTTGACTTTATGTCAAAGAAGGGCACACTGGGGAAGGGACTGGTCCCCCAAGGCCTCAGGCAGCCCTGCCCTTACAGCTTTGCTGGGCTCAGTCCACCCAGCAGCTCTCACAGTTGGAGTCTCATGCCTGCAGCTCTCTCAGGCCAGTGTTGCACACTGGTAACTCTACAGTTCTGGGGTCTTGGTGATAGCCACACTTCCATGGCTCCACTAGGCATTACCCTTGTGGGGGCTCTCTGCAGTGGCTCTGCCCCTGAAACAAGTCTCTGCCTGAGCCCCCAAGCTGTTCATGACATTCTCTGAAATCTAGATGGAAGCCACCATGGCACCATAGCTCTTGCATTATATGCGCCTGCAGATTAGCATCATGTGGATGCCACCAAAGTTTATAGTTTGTACTTTCTAGAGAAGCAGATCAAGCCACACCTGGGACCACTTGAGCCATGGCTGGGGTAGCCAAGGAATGCCATGCCAGAATGCAAGGAGCAGAGTTCTGAGGCAGCTCTGGACAGTGAATGCTGAGGTCCCACGGTGACTATCTGGAAACCTTGCTGTCTTAGTCGATTTTGTGTTGCCATAATAATGCCCGAGACTGAGTAACTAAGAAAAGAGATTTATTCAGCTCATGGTTCTGCAAAATGAAAAGTTCAAGGGCATGGCCCTGGCTTCTGGCAAGGGCTTCTGTGCTGTGTCCTAACATGCAGAGAAGGTTAAAGGGGAAGTGGATGCATGTGAAGAGGCATAACCTAGGGACATCCTAGCTTTATAACAACCCACTCTCTTAGGAACTAATCCATTCCCTTGAGAACAATCCAGTTTCATGAGAGTGACAACTCACTACTGTGAGATCAGCACCAAGCCGTTCATGGGGGATCTGCCCACGTGACCCAAACACTTCCTACCAGGCACTACCGCCCAACACTGCTCTATTGAGAATCCAATTTCAACATGAGTTTTCATAGGTATAGACTCAAATCATATCCAAACCATAGTATTCTGCTGTTAGCCCCCCAAAACTCATGTCCTTTCACATACAAAATACAGTCATTCCATCTCTATAGTCCTGAGAGTCTTAACTTGCTGATATGGTTTGGGTCTGTGTCCCCACCAAATCTCATGTTGAATTGCAGTCCCCAGTATTGGAGGTGGGGCCTGGTGGGAGGAGATTGTCTCATGGGAGTAAAGTTCTCATGCATGGTTTAGCACTGTCTCCCTGATGCTATTCTCATGACAGTCAGTTCTTATGAGATATGGTTGTTTAAAGAGTACAGGACATCCTCCCTCTCTCTCTTTCTTGCTTCTACTCTGTCCAGGTGATGTGTGTGCTTCCCCTTTGCCTTCTGCCATGATTGTAAGTTTCCTGAGGCCTCCCAGAACCCTAGCAGATGCCAGCATCATGCTTCCTATACAGCCTGCAGAACTGGGAGCAAATTAAACCTCTTTTCTTTATCAATTACGCAGTCTCCAATATTCCTTCATAGCAATGTGAGAATGGAATAATACACTTGTTTCAGCATCAACTCAAATGTCCAAAGTCCAAAACTGCATCTGAAACTCAAGGCACATACTTTCCAGGTATGAGCTTATAAACTCTAAAACAAGTTGTTTACTTCCAATATACAACGGTTGCACAGGCATTGGGTAAAATTACCATTCAAACATAGGGTCTTGCTCTTTCACCCAGGCTGGACTGCTGTGGTGAGTTCTTGGCTCACTGCAATTTCTGCCACCTGGGCACAAGTGATCCTCCCACCTCAGCCTGCCAAGTAGCTGGAACCACAGGCCATGTCACCACACCCAGTAATTTTTGTATTTTTTTGTAGAGACGGAGTTTCGCCATGTTGCCCATAGTGGTCTCGAATGCCTGCACTCTAGTGATCCTACCACCTTGGCCTCTCAGAGTGCCTGGATTACAGGCATGAGCCACACCAAGCCCTGGCCAGCAGACTTTAAATCTTAAACCTCCAGAATAATCTCCTTTGGATCAATGTTTTGCATCCTGGGCACACTAGTGCCAGGAGGGGGTTCCCAATGCCTCAGGCAGCCCTTTCCCCATGGCTTTGCTGGACATAGCCCACATGGCTGTACTCACAGGTTGGAATCACATGGCTTTGCTGGACATAGCCCACATGGCTGTACTCACAGGTTGGAATCAAATGCCTGAAGCTTAGCCAGGCTGAGGTCACATGCTGCCAGTGACTTTAGCATTTTGGGGTCCTTGCGGTGGCCCTACTCTTGTGGCTCCACTAGGCATTGTCCTAGTGAAGACTCTTTGCAGAAGAGTCCTCTGCTGTGGCCTCACATTTCTGCTTGGCATTGTCTTAGCAGAGGCTGTCTGTGGTGGCTCCCCCACATGGCAGGTTTCTGCCTAGGCTCCCAGGCTCTCTTTTTCTCTTCATTCCTTTTTTTTTTTTTTTTTTTTTTTTTGACAAAGGGTCTTACTCTGTCACCCAGGCTGGAGTGCAGTGGTGTGATCACAGCTCACTGTACCTTGACCTCTGAGGCTCAATCAATCTTCCAGCCTCAGCCTCCCAAGTAGCTGGGACTACAGGCATGCACCACTGCACCTGGTTAATTTTGTTTCTTTTTTGTTTTTGTTTTTGTTTTGTAGAGATGAGGTCTTGCCATTTTGCCCAGGCTGTTCTTGAACTCCTGAACTCAAGTGATCCACCCACCTCATCCTCCTAAAGAGTTGGGATTTCAAGCATGAGCCACTGTGCCTGGCCTGCTCCCAGGCTTGCTGATACATCATCTGAAATCTAGGTGGAAGCTGCCATGCCCACCACTCTTGCATTCCACATGCATGAACAATAGTACCATGTGGACATGGATGCCACCAAGACCCACAGCTTGCACTCTCCAGAGCAGTGGCCCAAGCTGTACCTGGGGCTATTGGGCCATGGCTGCTCTGGCCAGAGCAGCTAGGAGAAGCATCCTGAGGTGGCTCAGGGCAGTGGTATCCCACCATTCTGTCCTCCTAGGCCTCTGGGTCTGTGACAGGAGGAATGGCCTTAGACTTTTGAAATACTTTCAGGGCCTTTTTTCCATTGTTCTGTTAGTACCTGGCTCCCTTCTGTCAGAACTAATCTCTTTAGCAAAAGGTCCCTTGGCTGCACCCTTAGATTCCTCTTCTGAAAATGTTCTTTCATTCTCTACCACTTGGCCAGGCTGCAAATTTTCTAAATTTTAATGCTCTGCTTCTTACACATTTCACCTTTAGGTCACTCCTTTGCTGTGTTTAAGCTGTCAAAGTAACCACACTGTGTCTTGAGCATTTTGCTGCTTAGAAATTTTTCTGCCTAGGCCGGGCATGGTGGCTCATGCCTGTAATCACAGCACTTTGGGAGGCCGAGGTGGGCGGATCACCTGAGGTCAGGAGTTCGAGACTAGCCTGGCCAACATGGTGAAACCCCACCTTTAAAAAGAAAAAAAAAAAGAAATTTCTCCTGCCAGATGCCCTAGGTTATCATTTTTAAGTTTGGTATTTTATAAAGCCCTAAGGCATGGACACAATGCAGCCAAGTTCTTTGCTGTGGCATAACATGGGTGACCTTTGTTCTAGTTTCCAAATAAACGCTACTTTCCTTCATCAGAATGGCCTTTACTGTCCATATTTCTATCAGCATTTTGGTCATAACCATCTAACCAATCTCTGAGAAGTTCCAAACGTTCCCTCATCTTTTTGTCTTTTTCTGAGCCCTCATCAAAATTACTCTTAATGCCCTGTTCACAGCAATTCAGGTGTTTTCTAGCCTATTTCTTCAAACTCCTCCAACTTCTGCCCGTTACCCAGTTCCAAAGCTGCTTCTGCATTTTTAGGTATCTTTATGGCACAACCCCACTCCTTGGTACAAATTGTCTGTCTTAGATCATTTTGTGTTGTTATAACAGAATACCTGAAACTGGGTCATTTATAAAGAAAAGGTGTATTTACCTCACTGTTCTGTAGGCTGGGACATTCAAGGGCGTGCCTGCAGCCTGCAGGGGGTTGTAGCTCTCATGCTACATTATAACATGACAGAGAAGGTTAAAGGGCAAGTGGACACGTGCAAAGAGGCAAACCCAAGGGATCTCTTGGCTTTAAAACAACCCACTATCATGGGAACTCACCCATTTCTGCAGGAACTAATCTAGTCTTGCGAGAGTGAGAATCTGCTTCCATGAGATCAGCTGGTGGAGGATCCTCCCCCATGATCCAAATGCCTCCCACTAAGCCTCACCTCCCAACACCACCCCATTGGGGATAAAATTTCAACATAAGTTTAAGAGGGGACAAACTCAGATCATATCCGAACCATAGCACTTGTCCTCAAGGCCCCAGCCTGCTTAGACAATCTCTGAAATGTCTTCAGGGTTTTTCTCTCATTGTCTTGATGAATAGGCCTGGTTGCCTTCTGTCTACTAATTTTTTTAGCAAATGATTTCTTGGCCACGCCCTTGGTTTTTCTCCTACGGACACTTTTTCAGTCTACATGGCCAGCCTTCAGATTTCCCAAATCTTTCTGCTCTGCTTTCTTTTTCATTACTAATTCCACCTTTTAGTCATTTCTCTCCTCTCATGTTTTACTATATGTGCTTCAAAGTAGCAATACAGCTCCTTCAATATTTTGCTTAGAAATTTCTTTCACCAGATATCCTAGTTCATCACTCTTAAGTTCTGTCTTCCACAAATTCCTAAGACACTGACAGAATTCTGCCAAGTTCTTTGCAAGTAGATAACAAGAATGGCTTTTACTCCAGTTTCCAATACCTTGTTCCTCATTTCCATCTGACACCTCATCAGAATGGTCTTTACTGTCTATAACTGTCTATATTTCTACCAACATTCTGATTAGGACCACCTAAGTAATCCCTGAGAAGCTTTAGGCTCTTCTTAAAGTTCTTTTTTCATCTGAGCCCTCTCCAGAATTCCCCTTAATACTCCATTCATGGCAGACTTTTCTCTCCTGATCCTCCAAATTCTTCCACCTTCTACCCATTTCCAGTTCAAAAACCACTTCCACATTTTCAGGTATTTGTTATGGCATCAGACTACTTCATGGTATCAATTTTCTGTCTTAGTCAGTTTTATGCTACTATCACAGAATACCACAGACTGGGTAATTCGCATTGAACAGAAATTAATTTGGCTTATGGTTCTGGAGGCTGGGAAACCCATGATTGAGGGGCTGCATCTGGTGAGGGCCTTCTTGCTGCATCATAACATGGCAGGAGCCGTCACATGGGTGACAGAAAGAATAAGAGAGGACAAACTGACTTTTATAACAAACCCACCCTCATAATAATGAGTCCACTCCTGTAATAATGACATTATCACTTTTTTTTTTTTTTTAAGAGACAAGGTCTCACTCTGTCACCAGCTTGGAGTACAGTAGCATGAACACAGCTCACCTCAGCCCCAACCTCCTGGGCTCGAGTGATCCCCTGCCTCAGGCTCCAGAGTAGCTGGGACCATAGGCACACACTACCACACCTGGCTAATTTTTTATTTTTCATAGAGATGGGGTCTTGCTATGTTGTGCAGGCTGGTCTTGAACTTCTGGGCTCAAGAGTTCCTCCCGCCTCAGCCTCCCAAAGTGCTGGGTTTACAAGCATGAGCCACCATACCTAGCCACATTATCACCTCTTAAAGACCTTAGCTCTCAACACTGTTACACTGGGGATTGAGTCTTTAACCCATAGATTCTGGGGGACACATTCAAACTGTAGTTATATGTAGGATTATGTTGTATTTAGCCCAATGTATCCAAAATATTATTTCAACAAGTTGTCAATATAATAAAGTTAGTAATGTGCTATTTTACATTCATTACTAAGTCTTTGGAAACTCATGTATATTTTATACTTATAGATGGCCGCATAAGCAATGGCCCCTAGGTTAACTAGTTGGATAAACATAACCAGCTGGATAGTCCAGGTCTAGAACAATGATAGTATTTCAGCAGTGGAAATCAGATCCTAGCAGATAACGAAAGGCTCTAGAAAGTGACTCAGGCCTTGAGGAGGTTGTGTTTGCTGGACAGGCTGATCATATGGTATCACCCAGAGAGGCTGAGAGTTTCTGAGGTTGACTTGGGATTCACAGTCATAAAGTGTGTGGTCAGCCTAGTCTTGTTCCAAAGTCATGGCCACTTGGGTATGTTGCAGTCCAGGGTTGTCATTTTGGATCTTGTAATGTCAGAGGTCTTTCAAGGTCTGAGGGAAGTTTGCGGAGGTGAAGGCAAACTCTTTTGTTCACATCTATTGATTGTTATTGCTATTGACAGCAAACAGAGTGCTTGCTCACATGACTGTCTACTTTTTGTTTGTTTGTTTTTGTGTTTTCACATGAAAGTGTTTAGTTTATTAATATTCTTGTGAAAAATCCACAATGGCCACAGATTACACCATTGCAGCACCTTTACTCCTTCAGCTTTTTGCCAGCACCAACATTGGCCTTTGCAGTCCCCCTGACTTTCCTCATTCTGTTCTTGCGTTCCTCTCATTGCTTTCTTGAGGTCTTTTTCTTCTCATACAGGCCATGTCTTGCAAGTCTATGTTTGGGTTCATTTTTCTTTGCATAATCCAGGGGATCATAAATCATGCCAAAGCCGGTTGTCTTGCCACCACCAAAATGAGTTTTGAATGCAAATACAAAGATGACATCCAGTGTGGTCTTGTACATTTTGGCTAGTTTTTCCCAAATTTCTGTCTTAGGCACTGTTGCCTTCCCAGGGTGAAGGATATCAATGACTGTTTGTTTCCTCTGAAGTCGTCGGTTGATCATGAACTTTCTAGTGTGGATAGTTACTGTGTCGTTCATGATGGTGGTCTATCCTCAGACAGCCAGGGAGGAAAAGCATGACTGTCTGCTTTCTAGCCTCCTATTGTGCATTGGAGGAGAGTAGACAAGGGCTGGGAGCAGAAAACAAGGCCAGTAGTGACTAAAGGTAGACGGGGTAGGTCTGAGACCACCCTCTGAAATGGTTATGGGGGCCAGCCAGTCCATATAAATGCTGAAGCAGGCCTAGTAAAAATGATATTGGAGTGTGGTGGGGTCCCAGTGAGCTTGAGAGTTTTCATCCTATCTAAAGGCACCAGTTGCTTCAGCTCCCACCAATCATTGATATATACAAAGCATGACTCGGTGGTGTCAGATCTGCATTTTTTTCCTTTGAAGAGAAATCAGAAATCCAGATTTTTATGTGAAATCTGTATTTTGTAATCATGATAAAATATAAATAATATTTACCATTTTAACCATTCATTAAGTGTACAGTTCAGTGACATTAAATGCATTTGCAATGTTGTGTAACCATTACCACTATTTATACCCAAAACTTTTTCATCATCGTCAATAAAAAATCTGTACTCATTAAGCAATAACTCCTCTTTTGCCCCCCCCCCCCGCCCCCACATCCCCTGGTAACCTTTATTCTACTTTCTGTCCCTATGAATTTGCCTATTCTAGGATCCTTGTAAAAGTGGAATCATACTTGTCCTTCTGTAGCTGGCTTATGAAATCTGTTTTTTAAATGCTGGTAACTAATTCATTTCATTTTTTAAAAATGTATTTTATGTCTTAAAACTGCATCAGATTAAATTGCCAGTTTGAACATCAGGCATGGTGGCATATGTCTGTAATCCCAGCACTTTGGGAGGCTGAGGCAGGAGGACTGCTTGAGCCCAGGAGTTTGAGACCAACCTGGGCAACATAGTGAGACCCTGTCTCCACAAAAAGTACGAAATTAGCTGAGCATGGTAGAGCTCACCTGTAGTCCTAGCTACTCAGGAGGCTGAGGTGGGAGGATTGCTTGAGCCCAGGAGGTTGAGGCTGCAGTGGGCCATGATTATGCCACTGCACTCCAATCTGAGCTATAGAGCAAGACCCATCTCAAAAAAAAAAAAAAGAAGAAGAAGAAGAAGAAGCCAGTTTGAGACTTCTGGGAAAGGTTGCATGGAACTGAATTTCAGTTCTGCTTTCTCCTTCCTCGAAAAGCTCTCACCAAACGTGGGCAGGTGGAAACAATGTCAGAGGCTAGTAACTCAACTTGGGGGATTAGCCCAGAACTTCCAGAAGTGGTTGGTGATTTGCCTAATCCATGGGGATAGATGAAAATACAGAGGTCTGCGGCCCCACACAGACTGTCTTAACCAAACTGTCTAGGAAAGGGGCCCAGCATTTTGTATTCTCTTTTTTTTTTGAGATAGAGTCTCACTTTGCCCCCCAGGTTGGAGTGCAGTGGGGTGATCTTGGCTCACTGCAATCTCCACTTCCCAAGTTCAAGTCATTCTCATGCCTCAGCCTCCTGAGTAGCTGGGATTACAGGTGCCCGCCACCACGTCTGGCTAATTTTTCTATTTTTAGTAGAGATAGGGTTTCACCATGTCGGCCAGGCTGGTCTTGAACTCGCGACCTCAGGTGATCCGCCCATCTCAGCCTCCCAATGTGCTGGGATTGCAGGTGTGAGCCACCATGCCCAGCCAGCATTATATGTTTTCAACTGGCCTCCCAAATAAGGCTCGTGATCAGACACTTTTTGAAACCACGAGGAGGAAAGAGCAGCATGCATGGGAAAAGACTGCCTGCTTGGAGCCATATTCTTGTCAGGGCTGATTTTTTTTTTTCTTTTTCTTTTTTTGTAGAGATGAGGTCTCGCTTTGTTGCCTAAGCTGGTCTTGAACTCCTGGCCTCAAGTTATTCTCCCACCTCAGCCTTCCACAGTGCTGGGATTACAGGTGTGAGCCACTGCACCCAGCTGGTCAGGGTTGATTTATGATACGTTTGCTGTAAGGTTCAGTGGGAAGCAGTGGGAGCTTGGGCCACTCACCCTTCAGATTGAGGGCAGAGGCTGGGCTGAGGCTCATGATTTTGATTCACCTGAGGTACTGAAAACGTCCTGAAAACCTTAGGGTTGGGGAGTTGAGGAGCCCTAATGGGATATGAGCTTGAAACCATGCATATGCTCCACATCTTTTGGGTTCTTTGACATTCAATCCAGTGCACTGGAAGAAGCTCAGATTGGCCTGGCCTGGCTTCTGCCTTGGCTTTTTATATTTTTTTTTCTCTATAACCTAATCTTGGAAGTGATTTTTCTTTTTTCCGTTTTTAGAGACAGAGTCTTGCTCTGTTGCTCAGGCTGGAATGCAGTGGCACAGTCTCAGCACACTGCAGTCTTGACCTCCTGGGCTTAAGCGATCCTTGCCTCAGCCTACAGAGTAGCTGGGACTACAGGTATGTGCCACCATGCCTGGCTAGTTATTTTATTTTTTGTAGAATCTGGGTCTCACTACTTTGCCCAGGCTGGTCTTGAACTCCTGGCCTCAAGCGATCCTGCTGCCTCCGCCTCCCACAGGGCTGGGATTACAGGCATGAGCTATCACCCAGCGCATGCCTTGGCTTTGTTGCCTTGCCAGGCATTGTTATAGTTGCTTGTTAATTTCACAGAATTAAGTCTAAGTCTTCAGTTTCCAATTTCCAGACCTCCGCTCCCCACCTTTTCCTATTTAACTTGTCTCTTGTTACCTCTCAGCCTTGGCTCTGCTCTGACCACTGAGGCTCCATACTATCTCCTTGGGTTATACCCTTTGGGTCTAAGATTTAGGCAGTGGAGAGGAATGTCAGCAAGATGGTGGACTAGAAAGCTCCAGGCCCTCATTTTCCTACAGAAATGTTAAATAACCAACTAGGAAGTGGCTAAAATAACTTCTTTTGACAAGCTTTGGAAGTCAAAGATCTACAGCAACCAAGCCCACCCAACCAAGAAAAAGACACATTCAAAGCCATAGGAAATTTCATGGCTTTTTAACTCACCTTTGCCCCATTTCCTCCCCCATGCTGTGCCTCCAGTCCCCAGTTCTCTGCAAACTGAATAGATGGAATTTGCAACATTTTAACCTGCTTTAACTCAACTTCATTTTTATACACTGACAATGTACAACACCCCCCCCCAAAAAATTAAGAAACAATTCCATTTATAATAGCATTAAAAAATAAAATACTTAGGAATAAACCAAGGATGTAAAAGTCAAGTATATTGGAAACTACAAAATGTTGCTGAAAGAAATTAAATAAGGTGTAAATAAATGGAAAGACATCCTGTGTTTACGGATTGGAAGACTTCATGTTAAGATGTCAAAACTATCTAAAGCAATATATAGATTTAATGTAATCCCTGTCAAAATCCCAGTAATGGTTTTCATAGAAATAGAAAAATCCTTACCCTAAAATTCATATGGGATTTCAGGGAACCATCAGTAGCCACAACAATCTCAAAAAAGAAGAACAGCATCGGAGATCTCACACTTTCTGATGTCGGAACTTACTACAAAGCTACAGTAATGAAGACAATGTTGTATTTGGCATAAAGACAGGCATATAGACCAATGAAATAGAGAAGAGAGTCCAGATATAAACCCTTGTGTATGTGGTCAAATGATTTTCATCAAGGGTGTCAAGACCATTCAATGAGGAAAAGACAGTCTTTTCAATAAGGGGTGTTGGGAAAACTGGATAACCATATGAAATTAGACCCTTGTGTTGTCAGAGGCGTTTGAACAAGAGCGACTCCATCTTGAATAGGGGCTGGGTAAAATGAGGCTGACACCTACTGGGCTGCACTCCCAGGAGGTTAGGCATTCTAAGTCACAGGATGAGATAGGAGGTTGGCACAAGGTACAGGTCGCAAAGACCTTGCTGTTAAAAGGATGCAGTAAAGAGGCCAGCCAAAACCCACCAAAGCCAAAACAGTGATGAAAGTGACCTCTGGTCATCCTCACTGCTCATTATATGCTAATTATAATGCATTAGCATGTTAAAAGACACTCCCACCAGGACCATGACAGTTTACAAATGCCATAGCAAATCAGGAAGTTACCCTATGTGGCCTAAAAAGGAAAGAAACCCTTAGTTCCTGGAATTGCCCACCCCTTTCCCGGAAAACTCATGAATAATCCACATCTTGTTTAGCATATAATCAAGAAGTAACAATAAATATAAGCAGCTGAGCAGTCCATGCCACTGCTCTGCCTATGGAGTAGCCATTCTTTATTCCTTTACTTTCTTAATAAACTTGCTTTCACTTTATGGACTTCCCCCAAATTCTTTCTTGTATAAGATCCAAGAAACCTCTACTGAGATCTGTATCAGAACCCCTTTCCAGTAACATCGTTATACTATATTCAAAAATTAACTGAAAAATGGATCAAAGACTTAAACATAAAAGCTAAAACCATAAGACTCTTAGAAGGAAACAGAGAAAATGCTTTATAATGTTAGTTCTGGCAAAGATTACTTGGGTCAGATACCAAAAGCAGAGGTACTAAAAGAAAAGAAAAAATTAAACTACATCAATGTAAAACTTTAATGCATCAAAGGATGCTATTAACAGACTAAAAAAGTCACCCATATTTGGGAGAAAATATTTGCAAATCTTATATCTGATAAGGAATTAATTTCTAGAATGTGTAAAGAACTCTTTACAACTCAACCGCAAAAAAAAAAACAAACAAACAATCCAATTTAAAAATGAGCTAACAAATATACAAATGGTCAATTGCCAAGACCAGCTCAGTTGGGGAGACCCTAACCTAGCCGCGCTAGAGGAATTAAAGACACACACACAGAAATATAGAGGTGTGAAGTGGGAAATCAGGGGTCTCACAGCATTCAGAGCCGAGAACCCCCAACAAAGATTTACCCACGTATTTATTAACAGCAAACCAGTCATTAGCATTGTTTCTATAGATGTTAAATTAACTAAAAGTATCCCATATGGGAAATGAAGGGATGGGCTGAATTAATTGCAGCAGGAACACGCCTTTAAGACACAGATTGCTCATGCTTTTGTTTGTGGCTTAAGAATGCCTTTAAGCGGTTTTCCGCCTTGGGCGGGCCAGGTGTTCCTTGCCCTCATTCCCGTAAATCCACAACCTTCCAGCTTGGGCATTAGGGCCATTATGGACATATCACAGTGCTGCAGAGATTTTGTTTATGGCCAGTTTTGGGGCCAGTTTATGGCCAGATTTTGGGGGGCTTGCTCCCAACAGTCAATAGCACCTAAAAAGGTGCTCAACATTAGGGAAATACAAATCAAAACCACTGTCAGATACCACTCCACACCTATTTAGGATGGCTATTATTAAAAAAAAAAGTGTTGGTAAGGATGTGAAGACATTGGAACTCTTTTGCATTGCTGGTGGGAATGTAAAATGGTGCAGCTGCTATGAAAACAACATGAAGCACCTCAAAAAAATTAAAAATAAAATTACCATATGATCCAGCAATTCCACTTCTAGGTAAAAAATTGAAAGCAGGAACTTGAACAGATATTTGTATACTCGTGTTTATAGCAGCATTATTCACAATAACTAAAACTTGGAAGCAACCCAAGTGTCTGTGCTTCCAGATGAATGAATAAAATGTAGTGTGTGTATGTGTATGTATGTGTGTATATATATGTACAGTGAAATATATACATATACGTTGTTATATACAATGAAATATATAAAAAACTTCTGGCCAACCAGCTGTGAATTGGGGGTTCCCATAACTCCTCTTCAGGTTTGATTTGCTATAACAACTCACAGAACTCAGGAAAACATTTTACTCACATTTCCTAGTTTATTATACACTTTACTCACATTTCCTAGTTTATTATAAAGGATACAACTCAGGAACAGCCAAATGGAAGAGATGCATAGGGCAGGAAATTGGGATGGGGATTGTGGAGCTTCCAAGCCCTATCCTGCCACCCTCTCAGCACCTGGATGTGCTCACCAACCAGAAGCTCTCTGAAACTCAACTGTTCAAGAGATTTTATCCAGCACGGTCTCTAGCCCCCTCCCCTCCCCTCCCCTCCCTGGAGTGGGTAGGGGGATGGGGTTGTACATTTCCAAGTTCGAATCCATGATCTTTCTGGTGACCAGCCCCCTTCTGAGGCTACCTAGGAGCGCTACCTATGTTGCCTCATTAGCATAAACTCCCTGGAGGGGGTAGAGGGATGGGGTTGTACATTTCCAAGTTCTAATCCCTGGTCTTTCTGGTGACCAGCCCCCTCCTGAGGCTGTCTAGGAGGGCTACCTATGTCACCTCATTAGCATAAACTCTGGTGTCTTGGAAAGGGGCCCCTTAGGAAATGATGAGATATTCCTATCACTCAGGAAATCCCAAGGATTTTTGTAGCTCTGTACCAAGCACAGAGGACAAAGACCAAATAATATTTTTATTATACCACAGTTACCTGCAGTAGAAACAGAAAGTAGAATGGTGATTGTCAGAAGCTGAGGGAAGGAGAGAATGGGGAGTTACTGTTTAACGGGTACAGAGTTTCAGATTGGGAAGATGAAAAAAGTTCTAGAAATGGATGGAGGTGATGGTTGCACAATAGTATGAATGTACTTAACGCTGCTGAACTATACAGTTAAAAATTGCTTAAAAATCAACAATTGTGTATATTTAACCACCACCAAGCAAACGAACAAAAGATACTCTGCTTTTGAGATGTTCCCTTCTAGCTGGAACCCCTGTTCCCCTGCTGCCCTCATCCACATCAGCCTTTATGCTCTAAAGAATGCATTTCCAAGCCTGTGTACCTGCTGGGTCTGTTCCAACACTGGCCTTTGTTTTCTGGTGGTTCGTCTATTTCTCCTTCTTCCTTATCCCTTCTCTTGTCCACCTCCCCTCCATCTCCACATCTTCCTACTAAATGGGAAACTTCCAGAGGGCCAGAACCTTGGCTGATGATAGGGACAGGAGGCAGAGAAATTCTAGGCAGAAAAGGGTGGGGTCCCTGGCGAGGGCCCCACCCTCAAGCCTGAAACCGCAGCCCAAAGTGAGAACTTTACATCATTTTCCTGCTGGAATATTGCCTTTTCCAAAACCACTCCTGGCCAACCCCCATCCTATAGCCTTAAAACCCCCAGGCTCTACTGACAGAGAGCAGAGAAGGGGAGAAGCATTAGCCAGACATCAGAGAGAAGCAGGTTTACTTTAGAGAGACGGCTGGACAGCGGGACTTCAGAGAAGAGTCAGCTGGGGACAGCCAGACCTCAGGGGTGGAATACCTTCCTGCTCCATCTGCTTTCCAGCTCCCCTTCCCACTGACAGCCACTTCTATCGGCAATAAAATCCTCTGCATTTACCATCTTTCAATTCGTTTGTGCTATCTGATTTTTTTCCTGGATGCCAGGTAAGAGCTCAGGATAGAGAAAGCTGTCTCACTGGCTCTCTGCCCTCATGAAAAGGCAGAGGGTCTATTGAGCTGTTAAACACTTAAGCTAAAGGAGCGCAGTGTAACAAACACACTCTGGAGCTTCAGGGGTCACAGATACTCCCCCCTTAGATGCTGCCGCAGTACCCTCATGGAGTTTTTCTCCTGCTGGTGCCCAAAAGCGATCACTCCAGCTCCTGTGCCCGCTTGCCTGTGTGCTCCCACTCCCTCGAGGGGTTGAGAACTGAGGGCTAAGTGAGGCACCCCTGTCATGAAGCCCACAAAGGGGTCAAGGAAAATTTCCTGTTTCACTGACACATCTGTCCTGTGTCTCAGAGCAAGGCCCTGGGCATAGCAGCTGCTTGCAGATGGATGGGCAAATTAACAAGTTTTCACTTCCTGAAAGAAATTAAGATGACCAGTCAGTTAACTGAGAGTTCAGGTGGTTGGAGGAGAAGATTCTCATGCCTGGGTTGTCTTCTTGATGTGACTTGTTCTTATTCCTTATGTGGAAAAAGCTACTGAATCCTTACAGTGTGCGTTGGACTGTGCCAGGCCGAGGGTGTTGAGAATACTGTCGTCTACGGCCATACCACCCTAAATGCACCCGATCTTGTTTGATCTCGGAAGCTAAGCAGGGTCGGGCCTGGTTAGTACTTGGATGGGAGAATACTGTCGCTAGATCTGCTGTGTACCCTTTGACAAGTCTCATAACTTTCATAGGTTTGGGCTTCTTTGGTAAAATAGCATTCATACTGGCAACTGCAGAAGCTACAGGAAGGGATTCAATGAGACAATATGTGGACAGCATTTAGATAGTAGTTTCTCAGATAAGAAGTGCTAAATGAGGTCTGCTGTCATGGCACATGCCTGTAATCTCAGCACTTTGAGAGGCCAAGAGGGAGGATTGCTTAAGCCTAGGAGTTCAAGACCAGCCTGGGCAACATAGTAAGATCCCTGTCTCTACCTAAAAAAAAAAAAGTATTAAATAAAGAACAGATGTTTTCAGTACCATCATCAATAAAGGTAATCGCCTCTGTCTTCTGTTGGTTCTGGATCTAGAAAGAGAGGCCAATACTGAAATCTCTCCTAATACTACCGGACATTGCCCCAGTGTGGGTGCAGTGTGGACAAGCAGGGCAGCTTCCTTAAGGTGAAGGTTGAGCTGATTCCTAATGAGTGAAGTGACCAGGGGTTGGTACATAGGGGAGGTTGGGCCATTCCAGGAAGTATCCCAGTAGTATCCTGATGGAGACTTGTGCCTCTTGAGAGCTACTTAAACTAAAAGCAATATGGGTGCAGGAAGTTGGTGTAATATTCCCAGAGTGCGGTGATGAAGACTTTGGAGACTCTGGGGTGACACAGATACTCACTGGGTCAACCCCTATGCCTGTGCACAAGACTTTAGTCTC
Source organism: Homo sapiens (assembly GCF_000001405.40). Taxonomy (NCBI): domain Eukaryota; kingdom Metazoa; phylum Chordata; class Mammalia; order Primates; family Hominidae; genus Homo; species Homo sapiens. The sequence goes on from NC_000014.9 coordinate 75,605,006, forward strand.
ACAAACCTGAGACTGAAGGAAGCGGGCAGGGGTAGGGGGACCGGGCGGGGGGCGCCCAGGCTTATCAGGTGTTCACAGCTATTTTCCATCTCCTTGTTCTTGATCTTTTTCCAACAATGCTGTTAACAGGATGTCCTTCCCTTGACTTGAACTCCCCCCAAGCCTCAACATCAAACAGCCCTGTGTGGATTGCAGGATGTAGGTTGGAGTGCCATCAAGGATGATTAAAACAACAACCACCACCACCATCACCATCACCATAGGGTTAAGGTGATATGTGGTGTTTCCTCTTCTTTCTTTCTTGACCTCCTGACTTCTTTCTACCTAGCACCATTCCCAAGTTAACCCAGTGGAATATCTCCCCTCCCTTGATTCTACAGAGCTAAGGGCCTTTTTCTTTGGTGAGTCATTCATAGGTGGGAGGGCACCCTGTAAGCTCTGGTGGCCCAGCCAGACACTTCTGCTTTCTGACTTGATTACAGGCATCTTTCCTTTTTCATGCTGTGCAAAAACTTGAGCTCAGCCTCTCACCCCAACACAATTCAAGACGCAGCCTTGTCCCAGCATGAGCGCAGATAACAGCAGCACCATCTGTGTTTGTAGAAGCGTGAGACAGGAGGTGAGGATAGATCTTACTTCCTTCCCAACTTCTTTGGGTTCAGCCGTGTGTCCGGAGCCTTAGGAGGGAGGAGTGTTTGCTTTGGCTCCCCTCCGATTGCTTCTCCAGAGAGGAGTTGAACACAAGTATTTTTCAGTTCCAGGAGGCTGCTTTTGATTGCACAGCCCTGCCAGCTCCGGAAAAGAGGGACACAGAAGCTGGAGCAAGGTTGGGAGCTGGTTTTCTCCTTTTTTTCTTCTCTCCCCTGGAAACTCCTGATTTCTGCATACAATGACTGGGTTGACATGGCTGGGTCTCCTTTGGCGGCTCTAGAGGTAGCTGTCTGTATGCAAGTCTATTTGCTGTGTTCATCTACTGGAAAACATAGGAGGTGAGCAGGCATAAGGCATTCGTGGGCTTTTGTTTCGTTTTTTGAAACAGTGTCTCAGTCTGTCGCCCAGGCTGGAGTGCGGTAGCATGATCACGGCTCACTGTAGCCTCAACCTCCCCGGGCTCAGGTGATCCTCCCACCTCACCTCATCCTTTCGAATAGCTGGAACTACAGGCTCATGCTACCACGCCTGGCCAATTTTTGTATTTTTTTGTAGAGATGGGGTTTTGCCACGTTGCCAGGGCTGGTCTTGAACTCCTGGGCTCAAGTGATCTGCCTTCCTCTGTCTCCCAAAGTGCTGGGATTACAGATGTGAGCCACCACCCTGGTGAGGCATCCATGTTAAAGCAGGGTTCATTCTCAAGGCTGTTTGTTTGGGCTAGTAGCTGCCTTTTGAGCAATCTAGGCCTCCTTAGACCTTTATCCCGGGCTTCCTGTTGGGTGCTGGACAGGTTTGTGGAGACACCCATTTGAGCACACCCAGGATTCATCCCTTCTCTGCTGAGAAGCTAGACAGGAACACACCTCTCTCCCACCATTCCTGCCTAGGGTACATAGGGGAAGCCAGCAGCTGAGAATTCTCTTGATTTCCTTCCTCAGAGTGGTGGAGATCAATTGTTTCTAAAGTATGCTGCATGAGCCCCTGCACCAGAACCACGTGGGTGTTCATTAAAAATGCAAATTCAGAGACTCACACCTATAATCCCAGCCCTTTGGGAGGCCAAGGCAGGAGGATTGCTTGAGTCCAGGAGTTGGAAACCAGCCTGGGCAACATGGAAAAACCCCGTCTTTACAAAAAATTAGCCAGGCATGGTGGTGCCTGCCTGTAGTACTAGCTACCCAGGAGGCTGAGGTTGGGGGATCACCTGAGCCTGGGAGGTGGAGGTTGCAGTGCGCCAAGATCATGCCACCTCACTCCAGCCTGAGGGACAGAGTGAGACCCTGTCTTAAGAAAAAAAAAAAAGCAAATTCCTGGGCACCAGAGCAGACCCAAGGAATTAGCTCCTCTAGGTTGGGACCCAGGAATATGTATTTTTGATTCTCCTTCTAGGGATTCTGATGCCCACTGAAGTTTGAAAACTCCTGGTATAGAAGCCATGGAAGCTGGACCCAGCAGCCATGTTTGGGGCCTCCAGCAGGATACCTGTCCTCTTTGGGCATCAGCTTTTTTTTCTATAGCAAGAATGCCTGCCTCACAGGGTTGCCATGAAAGCTAAATGAGGCAATGTCTATGTGAAACAGCTCCTGGAACCAAGTAAGCCCTCTGTAAACATTTACTGAGTCCATATCTATCTTTTCCCTCTCTACCAAACTCATGTTCTACAACATGCTAGTGTTAAAAAAGGTAAACGGAGGTGCAATTAAAATTTTTTTAAGAGTTTATTTGAGCAAACAGTGATTCATGAATTGGCTGGCTCCAAACCAGAAGTGGTTCTGGATCATCCTGAGTCTCAGACCATGTCTTCTGGGGATATGATGCTGCTTTGTGCCTTTTTGAGACTCAGCAAGGTTCCATGGGAAGAGAGCAGGGCTGGGAATGGAACCTCAGAAGTCTCGATGTTGATGATTAGCTCTGTGACTTCAAGTTGCTTCAACTCAGTTATGAAGTAGAGAAGACAGTTTGGCCCTGACAGGTCTCTGCTTCCTCGTCTGGACTTTGGGCATCCTGCTCTTGATCTCACTGGGTGGTTTTGAGGCTCTGGTAATATATCGGATGTGTAGGTGCCTTGAAAATGGTGAAATATTTTGCCAGTGTTGACTTTTAGTGCCCTTTCTTGAACTCAAAAAAAAAGGGGGGCTCGGTGTGGTGGTTCACACCTGTAATCCTAGCACTTAGGGAGGTTGAGGTGGGAGAATCACTTGATGCCAGGAGTTTAAGGCCAGTCTTCGCAACATAGTGAGACTCTATCTCTACAAAAATAGTTAAAAAGTTGGTTGGGTGTGGTGGCACATGCCTGTAGTTCTAGCTACTTGGGAGCTAGAGAGGATCACTTGAGCCCAGGAGTTTGAGGTTACAGTGAGCAGTAATTGCACCACTGCACTCCAGCCTGGGCAACAGTGTGAGTTCTCATCTAAAAAATCAAAAAATACTCTGGACTTGCCCTTTGACAGTAGAATAAAAAGGGCTTCTCTAGACACACATCGTGTCCTGCCTGGATTGGGGGCCATGCCCTCCATGTAGAGGGCTCAGCACTCCTGCCTTTACACCGGCTCATGGTTCAGGATAAGCTCCATCATCCTTACCGTAGGAGACTCTCTCAGAGCTTCTGGGTTTCAAAGCCTTCCTCTCATCGGCAAAGAAAGGAAGCTATACTTGCTGATTTGATCCTCTTGAGCTGAGCTGTTCGGCGGCTCCAGGAATCCTGTGGAGCATTCTGGTTCTTTTTCATTCCAGGAAACTGACCGCTTGCTGCAGAGGGGCCTTTTGCCAGGAGTGGCACGATGCAACGTTTGAGTCTATATGTGCCTAAGATGGTTCCTCTCTTCAGTGTAGGAAAATGGCTGTGGTGGCATAGCACAGAACTGATTCATCCCCACCCTCAGGACATAGGCCTGGGAGGGAGAAGTTTTATCCTGAGGGCATGGTGGTCCTGGCCCTACCAAGTTTTCTCGCAGCCCCTCACAGTTAGCAAGTGGCAATGATCGATGGTAACAAATGGGGATCGGTAGGGCTTGGACAGCCCTTGTGAAGATGTTGGAACCCTTAGGAAGATGTTGCAGTTTCCGTTCGACAAGCTTCTCTCTCCAGAATTCTTATATCTCTCCTTAGGGAGGAAGGTTCCTCATTGTCTTCCCTGGGTATGGCTGCCCCCGTATTCTCATGCTGCCCCACCAAAAGCCATGTCCTTTATTAGTGTGCCCCCATCCTGGGCCAGACCTCTGTCCCTTGCAAATAACCCACACAGTCCCCTGGCTATCACATCTTTGTCTCTGTTCTACAACAAGTTCCTTGAATCCTGCTTGTCCTGAATTGCATCCCCTCCAGCCAGCTTCCCTATGTCTTTCCAGTTGACAGCAGGCAATGAGAGAAATGAAAGCCACTAAAGAAGGCCCTCCTCCCCTTGGCCTGTCATGTGTTTTTTTTTTAGACAATGCACCATAGCCTTTATTTTATTTATTGAACAAATATTATTGAGCATCTACTCTGTGCCAAACAACAAACATTTTCACAGCTGGGGATGCAGCAATGAATGGGAAAGGGAAGGTCCCTGTTGGCAATAGCCCTCTGTTCTTGTAGAGTTCACATTGAAGGGAAGAGAGATTACACTATAAGCCAGTCACACCGGAGCGGCTAATGGTGCAAATGTCAGCCCAAGTAGGAGGGCGGGTGACTTCAAAGCAGGATATTAGGAGATGTTTTTAGCTAAGCAGGTCCCTGAGTAACTCCCTAAATAACAGGGCCAGATCTAATGGTGCTGCAATCTCTCTCTTTCTCTCTCTCAGGGCGTTATAGATGTGAGTGACTAATAGTTTTTTTGGTGTAAGCTTGAGATTTCTTTTTCTTTCCAGCTGTCTGTCTGGGATCCTGAGGCAAGCTTAGTTAACTTATGAAGTTGGCTTCTTAGGAAAAAGCTACATGGGTCCCATCCTATCTATTTCTTGAAGTGCATGCTCCAGAGGAACTGGGTTTTGCCCATGGCAGTCCATGAAGCAGCAACTCTTCCAGGGCCTGCCAGTAAGTAATTGGCAGGGTTTTACCCCTGAAAAAATCAGAATAGGAGGGCTATTACCAGAAAGTCCATCCAGATTTAGAAGGAAACATGGGAGGATTAGAAACATTGGTCGTCACGTGAGCATCCCTTTTAGGAATGCCAGAATGTTGCCTTGCAGACAAAGGAGACAATTATTCTCCTTTGGGCTGTTTTATCTGTCAAAGGTCAGGGAGTGGCACCTTTGAGTTGGGGGGGATAGATGGGGGGTTAGTGTTAAGGGAATGCAGAAGACCGGAGAATCCCTCTGTTGGCTGTTGATTGCTGGTGTCTGGGACAGAATTGGTGGGCAATCAGTGCCAAAGCATTTGAATGGCGCTTTGCACATCGCCTACTTCAAATGTGAAAACTTTGGAGTAAGATTTGCATGATGTGATCTGATGTGATCTCAGCTGGCCGGGTGGTTTGAAAGACACCCACTCATTTTTCCTCCTTCCTAGCCGAGTCATGGGGAAGTTCTGTGACCACTGGCTTTCAGCACAGTCAGCTAGAGGGACATTAATGTATTGAGGTGACAGTGATTTGTTCTCTCACTGAAAGAAAAGGCAGTGGATTCTTCACTTCTGCACCCAAAGTAGACCTAGGCTGGCCCTTTGTGGAGTTCACCATGAGGACAACTTCAAGGGGAACACCAAGTCCTTAAAAGGAGGAGTGTGTGCCAGGAAGCTCCTGAGTTCATGATGACAGAAAGCAAGCATAAATACCGGGCTTAGCTAAAAAAATAAAACACGGCCTTTGTCAGTGTTCCTTTTTTTTTCTTTAATCAGAAAACTTTCCTTGTGAAACTCATTTTCTTCACCTAAACTTAGCAACTTCTCTGTTTACAGCCTAGTGTATCTCTGCTCTTCAGCTAACTTGCACCCCCCACAAAGATGAGGAGGAAACCCAACACCAAGGCTGTAGGTCAAGATCAAGGTATATTACATTATAAACCGGGTGAGAGTGAGCTCCTTGTCTTGCATCTTTCTCTTCCCTTCTGAGTAGGGTGCCTAGTATGCAGCAGGTGCTCAATAAATACTGAGTGTAGGTCTAAGAGTGAGAAGTTGATTGGTCTGCATTCGAATCCCCTCCATGCCTGATCTTGGGGCACCCCAAATGAGAGGTCTTCCCTGTCTGGGGGCTTCCTTAGGTCATTTCATCTGGCATCTACTCGCTTTGGGTGGTTAAACTCTTACAATGCAGCAAACTGCTACTGTGCCCAACTTGTTTACTGCAGAGCAGCCTGGAAAGACTTGAGTGAGGTTTGAGCTGCACAGTTCTAAGAGTTATTTCTTCACTCAGAAAATATTTCCTGAGTGCTGTCTCTGTTCTTGTGATTGTGTCAGACGTGGTATGCGGGAGGGTCACATGAGCAAATGTGAGTCAATGTCCCTGTCCTCAAGGTACTAACAGTTTAGTTTGGGAGACAACACACTACACAAAAAGAAACAAAACTAAGCATGACATAAAAACAAGAAACCTGTAAAGTGTAACTGTGGCAAAGAAACCAAACTGTAGCTGGAGACACCTCTCACCCTTGCTTCCTCCGACAGCTACACATTTGGGGACATTTGAACTACAGAATGGAGCATATGAGACTGGAGGGAGTGTCGGGTGTGAGGGCAGTCACTTTTCTGTGGCATTCACCTTGTCCGTTGAGGGCTTTGGAATCAGATAGCCAAGGGTATGAATCTCAGTTTTGCCAGGAGAAGCTGTTTTGACCTTGGGCAAATTATAGAGGCTTTCTCATCTGTAAAAACCAAACCAGAGGCCAAGGCACAGTGGCTCATGCCTGTAATCCCAGCGCTTTGGGAGGCCGAGGCAGGTGAATTGCTTGAGCCCAGGAGTTCGAGACCAACCTGGGCAACATGGTGAAACCCCGTCTCTCCTAAAAATACAAAAAATTAGCCAGGTGTGTTGGGCGCATGTCTGTGGTCGCAGCTACTTGGGAGGCCGAGGTGAGAGGATTGCTTGAGCCAGGGAAGTAGAAGCTTCAGTGAGCCGAGATCGCACCACTGCACTAGCCTGGGCAACAGAGTGAGACCCTGTCTCACAAACAAACAAACAAACAAACAAAAAAACCCACAAACAAAACCCAAACCAGAGATGATGGTGCCAACTTCAGGGGGTAGTTGTGAGGGCATAGATGAAATATCATGTGAAAAAGCCTTTAGCATGCTGTCTAACACATAGCAGACACTCAGTACATATTCACCTCCTTCCTCCTGGTTTGAGTAACATTTAAGACCAGCGCCTTTAACCTAATGGATAAGAGTACAGATGAGTACTGATGGCCAGAGCTTGAAGTTTAGCCTCATCGCTTACTGTTATGTGACCTTGGGCAAGCTACTTAAATGCCAATTTCCTCCACTTTAAAATAGACATTAGGGGAGCACGCCTTCTATTTTATGGAGTGAAGTGTTGCCCCCCAAAAGAAAAAAATTAATAATTAAAAAATAAAATGATTCAAAGAGTATATATATTTATAGGGTGCTTTGAGCACAGTGTATCAGCTCTCATCGCTATTATTATCTTCCCTAGGGATCAATGATTGTAGGCTATCCTAATTTCAGTAGCTGCTGCTTCCTGCATTTCTCTAACCTCTTTCACCCAAAGAACTGAGGGAATCCAGGAGTCAGGGCAGTAAAAGCCACCAGCATAATCACAGCTTTCAGGACAAACCCTGTGACGGGGGCGGGAGCTTGAAGGAAGTCTGGAGTTGGCCAGCTGTAACCCTACTCCCTAAGTTCTTAGAGATCTTAGCTTAGCCTTTAAATCCATAAACCCCCTTCCTGAGTGATTTTCCACCAAATCAATGAGGTTGTTTAGATTGTCTTTGTCTTTGAAGGCCTGCTACCTCCTTGATCCCGAGTTGACCTTTTCAAAAGAAGCCTTGGATTTGGAGATTTCACAAATAACAGTCATATGAGCGGTCTTTGCCTGGACATTATCGGTTACCGTGGAGCCGCCTGGCATTCCTGGGTGCTCGGGGCTCATTCTCATGATTAAGCTCAAGCTCTGGGTTCTTAGTTTTGCAGTGTCTCTCAGCCCCAGCAGCCACCTTGGACTCTCCTTGCTTCTTTCTGGGGCATCCGCAGACTCAGTCCCAAGACCCCCTGCCAAACCTCGACTACATGTCCCAAGGTAGCTTGCCTGGCAGAGTGCCTTCACTCTAGCCTGGTCTCCTCCACTTGAGGTCTTGGAGCCCTTGTTTATTCTCCATGTTGCTAGATCAGTTATTCACTAGCAGGTATAAGCAAACATCTAAATGATGCTGGCCAAGGGGTAGAGAGCAGTATTTATAGCAACAGAATTATGGACTGGAGTGTGCAGACTTGCCTAAATAGTACCAACTTTGTGGTGTTTCAATGCACACAGCACTGTGTGGGCATGGGCAATGAGTGTGGAAGTCACTTCCACATAATTCCCCAGGTGGACATGGTCCTGGGAGATGGAGCTTGTGTTAGTCCATTTTGGATTGCTATAAAGGAATATCTGAGGCTGGGTGATATATAAAGAAAAGAGGTTTAATTGGCTCATGGTTCTGCAGGCTGTACAGGAAGCATGGTGCCAGCATCTGCTTGACTTCTGGCGGGGCCTTAGGAAGCTTCCAATCATGGTGAAAGGCAATGATGGAGCTAGGGTGTCACATGGCAAGAGTAGGAGCAAGAGAGAGTGAGGGGGAAGATGCCACACAGGTTTAAACAACCAGATCTTAGGAGAATTCATTATTGCAAGGAGAGCACCAAGGGAATGATGATGGCACTAAACCATTCATGAGAAATCTGCCCCCCTGACCCAATCACCTCCCACCAGGCCCCACCTCCGACACTGGAGATTACAATTCAACATGAGATTTCTTTTTCTTTTTCTTTTTTCTTTTTTTGAGATGGAGTCTTGCTCTGTTGCCCAGGCTGGAGTGCAGTGGCACATCTTGGCCCACTGCAACCTCTGCCTCCCGGGTTCAAGCGATTCTCCTGCCTCAGCCTCTCGAGTAGCTGGGATTACAGGTGCACATCACCATGCCCAGCTAATTTTTGTATTTTTAGTAGAGATAGGGTTTCACCAGGTTGGCCAGGCTGGTCTCAAACTCCTGACCTCAAATGATCCACCCACCTTGGCCTCCCAAAGTGCTGGGATTATAGGCATGAGCCACCACACCCAGCCTCAACATGAGCTTTAGAGGGGACAACATCCAAACCCATCATGCCCCTTTACATAGTAACACTTTCTCCCAAGTTGTCTGTGCAGCTGAAGTTTTCCTCAGCTGCCCTACTCTGTGAACTTAACTTCAGATTAATCTTTAGGCCATAAAATCATTGGTAGTGTGCATAGAGGTATGTAGATATACACATTTACCTAATAACTGTATCATGTAAAACATCCTTTGGCAAGGACAGCATCATACTGAATGCTTTAAAATTGCTCATTTGGGTTGATGGGCTTACAGTAATCCAATGTGTGAAAGTCTAGATTGAACCTCAATGTATCTTTTATGAGGCTCTTATTTTAAAAGGATCCTCAACCATGCTTTTTAAAGTATCAAACTTTCTCTGAGAACCTTGTCTAGACTTAAATTTCCAACCACATCTTTCCACAGTTCTGGGCTCACATGACAAATGTGCAGTGGCAATGGTGCTTTCCTGACATGCCAGTTAACTGCAGCTCATTCTTTCAACAACCATGTATTGAGTAAGCGCCAGACTAGCAAGTATCAGGAAAATGACTGACAACCCAAAGATTAGAGGAAGTTAGAGCAAGGCAATCACGCCTAGTGAGGATCGTCAAGGAAAGCTCTGTGAGAGAATTCACATGGTGATGGGCTCTGAAAGATTAAAAAGGGGATAACTTGGGATAAAGGTATAGACGAGATGATGGGAAGGTTGGAATCATGACTTGTTCAATCTGGCTGGAATATAGGGGATTTATAGGGATACAGAAGAGAAGGGTCTGGAAAGGAAGGTTGAAACTAGCAAAGACAGCTGTATTAGTCTGTTTTCACGCTGTGATAAAGAACTGCTTGAAACTGGGTAATTTATAAAGAAAAGAGGTTTAATTGACTCACTGCTCCAAATGGCTAGGGAGGCCTCAGGAAACTTACAATCATGGTGGAAGGGGAAACAGGCACATCTTACATGGTGGTAGGCAAGAGAGCGAGAGAGAGAGCGTCTGAAGGAGGAACTGTCAAACATTTTTCTAACCATCAGGTCTTGTGAGAACTCACTACCATGAGAATACCATGGGAGAAACTGCCCCCATGATCCAGTCACCTCCCACCAGGCCCCTTCCTTGGCACATGGGGATTACAATTCGAGATGAGATTTTGGTGGGGACACAGAGCCAAACCAAATCAATGGCTAAGAACAGTAGCTGAGGGGTTTGGACCTGCTTCCTTCCTCTGAGAGGGCTGACACCTTGAAGTTCTTTAAGCAGGGACGGTGGGGTCAATGCAACGCCAAGGACCATGAATGTGAGTACATCATGCAGGTCGGGCAGAGGAGAGATCACAGTTGCCTGGGAGAAAGGCAGAAAGGTCCGAAGTGGGACAGGGCAGATTCAAAGAGGACTTTGCAGAAGGGTTTGGGAGGATCTGAGACGAAGTGCATATAAGAGGGCAGAGTCAAAGATGACTAAGATAATTGAGGAAGGACACGCAGATGGAGCCAGAGAAGGAAGTGAAGCAGAACCAGGGTAGGATGATGGTTTGTATGACTTCCCCAAATAAACCAAGTGCATCTTGGGAGTCCCAGTGGCCTCTGCTGCCTGTCACCTCTGCTGTGTGAGAGTGTGTGGGAAAGGGCCAACCCTGCAGACAGGGAGTGAGCCTCAGCCCGATGAGCTAGGTGGTATTTTCTTCCTCTTGTGGATTAGGAAACACACAGAGAGGTCAATTAACTTGCCAAGCTCTAGTAACTGGTAGGGCCGAGATTTGAATTGAGATCTTTCTGACCCCTGACCCTGAGCCCTTAAGCACTATATTAGTATGATGATGTCTCTGAGGAATGTTGAAGCAGAAAGGAGAAGTGGGAGATTCATTTAAAAAAGCATAAGGCCGGCTGGGCGTCATGGCTCATGCCTATAATCCCAGCATTTTGGGAGGCCGAGGCGGGCGGATCACAAGGTCAGGAGATTGAGACCATCCTGGCTAACACATGAAACCCTGTCTCTACTAAAAATACAAAAAAAAAAAAAAATTAGCCAGATGTGGTGGCGGGAACCTGTAATCCCAGCTACTCGGGAAGCTGAGGCAGGAGAATGGCATGAACCCGGGAGATGGAGCTTGCAGTGAGCCGAGATCGTGCCACTGCACTCCAGCCTGGGTGACAGAGTGAGACTCCATCTCAAAAAAAAAAAAAAAAAAAAAATAGCGTAAGTCCAGTTATGGTGGCTCATACCTGTAATCTCAATATTTTGGGAAGCTGAGATGGGAAGACCACTTGAGACCAGCCTAGGCAACATAGTGAGAGACCCCAATTCCACAAAAAATTAAAAAATCAGCCAGGCATGGTGTCATGATCCTGTAGTTCCAGCTACTTGGGAGGCTGAGGCAGGAGAATTGCTTGAACCCAGGAGGCGGAGGTTGCAGTGAGCCAAGATTGCGCCACTGCACTCCAGCCTGGCGACAGAGTGAGACTCTGTCTCAAAAAAAAAAAATTTTTTTTAATTTAAAAAATAAAAATAGCATAGCATGGGCATGAGGCAAGCCCCAGATTAGGTCATAAAGGGACCAAATTTGATGGAAGCCTTCAGCCTCAGGGACTCTGGTGCAAAGAAAGCAGCTGGCTCAATAAAGGGATACATACATATATATATTTTTTAATTGATACATGGCATTTTACATGTTTATGGAGTATGGACTTTTTTGACTCAGCACTAGGAAGATAGCTCCTGAGAGCTCTGAAATCTAAGGGAACATGTCCAGCCATACCCAGTGATTATGCCCAGGGGAGAGGAATGAGCCAATTGGTTTGAGCAAATTGGGGCCCAGCCCTAGGGGTGAGGGTGGGCTTGCCTTTGTCTGAATAGCACAGCACGTTGGGAGAGGAATGAGTTTCAGTAGGTGAGAACCTGTTTGTGGAGGTTGTTGTCTCCTAACAGGAGCAGGATCCACCTTGCCAGTGGCTTGGGTCAAGAGGATAAGCTGCCTGGGACCCAGCAAAAGGCTCAGATGGGGACTACTGGTTCTTTTCCTGTTCCATTTGGACTGAAGCCCTCACCACTGTGTGGACAAAGAGCTCCTTGCCTTGCCTTTTGGGGAAGCTCTTGGATCCTCCCTGGATGGCCTGGCCATATTCTGGCCCCATGACTAGGTAGGATTTAGGAGGGCATCTGTGTGCTAGGGTTCTGATTCAATTGTGACTTAGGGCTTTGTGAATGGTGGGTGGGGACAGTGGATGGTGGAAGAGGATGGGAAACAGTGGTTCTGTGGATCTCAGAGCTGGCATAGCATGTGTGTTGTGTTGTGTAATGGGTTGGGTATGGAAATCTTACCCCAGACGCAGCCTGATGATTTTCTGGTTTTATTCTTGCTCTGCCAAATGCATGAGCTAGAATCACAAGTGAGACATCATTCAAAGTATGGCTTCTCCCTGTCACCTAGGGCCCTCAGACGACATAGACATGTTTTTAACTGTGACATTTGCTCTGGAAACGTTCCTGATTACTGACATTACAGTAGCATTTAGAGGTCACCTTTGAGTTTGCAGAAAGGGTGAAAATAAAATAGAAAATGAAAATTAAATATCCCAGGCTGCCTCTCCATCCCTTCATTCATCACATTTTTTGTTAAACACCCTCTATTGGGATGAAGTAAACTATAGTTGTAAAGCTTACCTAACTTTGAAATACTGTATGTTGAAAACTCTAGCTTTGCTACCTATAGCTGTGTGACCTTGAGCAAGTCAGTTAGCCTTCCTGCATCTCAGCTTCATCATCTGTAAAATTGGGACGATGTTAGACCCCTCTTTCTGGGGTTGTTGTGAGGCTTGAGATACTCTGCATAAAGCTCATACATTTTACTATGATGAGTATTATCATGTGCCAGCCTGCAGAGATCAGTGTGAGCCCTGCCCTCATGGAGCTTATAATCTGGTTGGGAAGACAGATGTTAATTAAATGATCATACAAATATAAAATTACCTATGCAGGAACCCAACCTCATGTAAGGGATTAGAGCAACCTTCCTGAGGAAGCAGGATTTGCACTCAGACCTGAAGGATATCTGCATTGACTAGCTGAAACAGGGCAGAGAGAGATTCTAGTCCAGGTAGAGGAGCTGGTGCAAACTCCCCATGGTCACTTGAAAGACAGAAAGGAGCTCAGTGTAGCAAAGTCCTGAGGAACAAGCTGGTGACAAGGGTCAGACCATTAGACAGAGCCCATGTGCAGAACCTTGTGGGCTGTGCTTAGGATTTTTACCTCTAATTTAAAGCAAGGAGAAGTCACTGCAGGGTGTTAAGCAGGACGTTTTCCAAAGATGGCTGGCTATCATGGAAAATAGCTAGGAGCAGAGCTGCATGGAAGCTATTAGGAGGCATGAGTCATACTTTTTCAGAGGCCAGTATCTCCCCAACTCCCTTGATGAAGATGGGGATGCCTGCATATGAAAATACAGGTACCTAGGACCCACCTCAGACCTGAGGGATAAAAACGGGGTTGGTACTGGTGACGTTTGTTATGGGACAAGTTTGGGAAATACTGCTATGGGATGGGTAAAAATGAAGAGAGCCTAATTTTGAAAAGTATGTTCCAGAAGAGCTAAGACTATGACTTGGTTTGACCATGAATTTTGTATTTTGCCCATGACTTTGTGTTTTGTTGAGAATGATAAAACTAGAACAAGTGCAGGGATGTAAGTCAACTCAAAACCAGTTAGCAGTGACATTCATTCATTTGCCTTCCCAAGGTGGGTCTCCAGGAAAGATGCCAAATGCTCCATGTGCCCCGTTCTCCCACATTTTAAATTAATGTTTCACTGATTCAGGCCCCAGGTCTCTGATTTGTACCCCAGAGGTTTCCTGTCAAATGAATGACAACCCAAATGGGTGAAAATGTAGACTTCCGTGTTGACTAGTATCACACCAACATTTCATGGAAGGCAGCAAAGTGAGCCTGGGTTCTGACATCAGACAGAACTGGCTTAGGAGCCCAGCTCCTCTGCTAGCTGCCTGTGTGACCCTGGGCAGGGTGCTGAGCAGCAGGGTTTTTTTTTTTTTTTTGCCCTCTCTCTTTTTTGTTGTTACAAAGTTATTGGCGATAGGCTGGGTGCAGTGGCTCACGCCTGTAATCCCAGCGCTTTGGGAGGCCGAGGCGGGCAGATCACTTGAGGTCAGGAGTTTGAGACCAACCTGGCCAACATGGGGAAACCCTGTCTCTACTAAAAATACAAAAATTAGCCAGGCATGTTGGTGGGCACCTGTAATCCCAGCTACTTGGGAGGCTGAGGTAGGAGAATCACTTGAACCTGGGAGGCGGCAGAGGTTGCAGTGAACTGAGATCATGCCACTGCACTCCGTCCTGGTGACAGAGTGAGACCCCGTCTCAGAAAATAATAATAATTAATTAAAAATAAATAAAGTTATTGGGGTTAAATGAAAAGATAAAGTGTATTACATATTCGGCGCATAGTAGATGCTCAAGATACACTAGGGTATCCTACCCTCTCCTTACTTTCCCATACACATTTTTTTTTCTTACCACTGTGAGTACAATGTAGAAAGAACCTGGACCTTAATAGAGAGATGTGTCATTCCTAGCTTTGTGTAGACAGGATTTTCCACCAACGTTCATCTGCTCATCCATCCATCCATCCATCCATCCATCCATCCATCCATCCATCATGACTATGGAACAGACCTATATACTAGGAACTAGAAATAGACTCTCCCTAAACACTGCTCTTAAGAAGCAGGAAAAAAATATGTATTGAAAAAACAAAAGAGGAAGCAGCTTACAGTCTAATCCTGATGTTTTGGTTTTCCACACTGGGCATAAATGTACCTCCATAGCCAATTTCCTCCTTGAGAAAGGTTACCATGAGACAGTGTTGCTGCCCAGCTGGGGTTACTGTAGGCCACTGCTAAGGCCCACCCATCCAACCTGCTGCCTGGAGAAGGCTTAAAAGCCGGAGTTGGGGTGGAACAGCACTCACTCAAGCTTGGTGTATAGATGGAATGAACAGAGTCCAGCTGCCCCAGAGGAGGAGGGCATACAGTGTAGCACCAGCTGGGAGGATTTCTTTAATGGGGCAGAAGATTAACTGAGAATTAAGATATCCTGTGTTGGGACCTCAGAGCTTTAATTTTCCTTTGGAAATGAAAGAGTCACAGAGCCTCAGATGATGTCTGTATCTTTCCTCACTCTTGCAAATGGGACCCTGGGAGATTCTACTTAACTTCCAGACCTCCAACTCCAAAGTGCTTAGAAGGCCATATATGAGCTGGAGTGGGCCCAGCTTCCCAGCTATGAAGAAGGTTGCATTTGCCCCTCTGCTTGTGGCTGGTTTCTACCTTCAATTAAAGTCTTGAAGATGAGCAGTAGGAAGCCTGACTCTGACAAACCAGTATGACCAAGGATCAGCTAAAGCTCCAAGGACACAAAAGAGGCCTCTGTTCTGCAGAAGCCTGCCTGCCTGGGCCTTTCTCCAGGCTCTTAGCCTGGGATGCACTGGCCAGAGAAGCCAGGAGATCTGCTTTCTCACCTCCACTCTGCTAGAACTCTGGGTGACCCTCAACAAGTCACAGAGCTCAATTAACCTCACTTGGCCTTTGTTTTCTCCTGTAATTATTGGGTTTGTAATTATAATAAACGATTACAGATGAACTTTCAAACTGTAATATTCTATCATTTTAACCCACAAATATGGCCAGTTGTGTTATCTGTTGTATTTTTGTTTTAACATTTTTCCTGCTAACAGATTATTAAGCTCCTTGAAGGCAGAAACTCTGTCTTATACCTCTTGGTACTTTCTAAAATATCTAGCAGAGTACGTTTTAAAGATGCATTTGGTTAATTGATTACATACTGGTATAAAGAACTCTACACAGCAACTATGAGTGACCACTTTTGTGAATATTCCAGAACTGAGAACCACTAGTAAACATCTTGAATGGCTGTAATTGACAGAAGGAAAAACGAATCAAGGGGGTCAGCAGATTGGCAGTTGATGGATGATGTGAAAGTGAGGAGCGAAAGCAAATTGTTTCTTTACCTGTAGCTCTTTCAAGTACAACAAAGGAAAAATGAGACCTTACGACAAAGGAATTACTCATCTTCCTTCACTCTTGGAATCTGAAGCTTGCCTGAGTTCACAAGCTATTTTCCCATTTCCGCCTCAATATTATGTGCAGCAGAAGGGCTTTTGGGAATTGTATCACAGCCAGTCAGTACTGAAGCCAAGCCTTTCTGACCTCGGAAACACCCAAGTCATGTTATCTGTCGGTCACTGGAGTTTGGACTCCAACCCAGATAAGAAATGGTTTAGCACTTTGGGAGGCCAAGACGGGTGGATCACGAGGTCAAGAGATGGAGACCATCCTGGCCGACATGGTGAAACCCGTCTCTACTAAAAATACAAAAATTAGCCAGGTGTGGCGCACGCCTGTAGTTCCAGTTGCTCAGGAGGCTGA
The DNA here is from genome assembly GCF_000001405.40 of Homo sapiens. Lineage (NCBI taxonomy): Eukaryota > Metazoa > Chordata > Mammalia > Primates > Hominidae > Homo > Homo sapiens. The sequence continues at coordinate 75,621,311 of NC_000014.9, forward strand.
GGCAGGAGAATTGCTTGAACCCAGGAGGCGGAGGCTGCAGTGAGCCGAGATTGCGCCACTGCACTCCAGCCAGGCGACACAGCGAGACTCCATTTAAAAAAAAAAAAAGAAAAAGAAAAAAAAAAGAAATGGTTTAATTTGTTGGGGGTGTGTGTGTGTTTATAGCCATTTTTTACGTGCCTATCTCCTATGTGTATAAATTTATGCAGTTATGTGTGACTTCACACTACAGATGCTTTAGAAGTTACTACGTTATTCACACAATAAACTGAAGCTTCCATGCTTGTAAATGTGGTAACAGCTTTAGCCTTCCAACTCTTACTGAATGCAAGTTCTTGGGCTTGCAGGGTATAGAATTTCTCCCCAGCTGGGCTCTCAGCTCTGGGTTAACAGATTCAGTGAAACTAAAAATTTGAGTAGCACAAGAAAATAATGATCAATGTTATTTTAGTCTACTCCAGATATGGGAGTAGAGGAACCATTTTTCATCAATTTGCAGCTAGAGAAGAGCCAGCCCGCACTGAGACCATCAACTACATGTTCTTATAATAGGCATTGATAGTGAGGGTGGTCAGAAGGATGTATGAGCCAAAATGTCAGTCAGAAGAAAGATTTCTCTGGTGTTTTGAGGTGAGAAATAATCCCTGCATGGGTGTTAGGAAGGATTGGAAGTTGGAAATTAGATTTCTTATTAGGAATCTCTTTACATTTGTGTTGTCACCTCTTGGCCATTGGTAACTGTGATTGGGTTGTCTCTGTCTTCTATAGCTTGGAATTGCGATTGGGTTCTTGGTCCCTCCTGTTTTGGTACCCAACATTGAAGACCGGGACGAGCTTGCCTACCACATCAGCATCATGTTCTATATAATAGGAGGTGTGGCCACTCTCCTCCTCATCCTTGTCATCATTGGTAAGGTCATTAGTAAACAGATGGGGTAGCAGGGGGCGAAGGGGCAGGGAGATTCTGCTGACTTTGATGGGACCCTTGTGAACATGCCCTGAAATACCATGGATATTTACAGAAACTGGAGTCTGGGCTTCTTATGGTCTTCAAATGTTTTAGCCTGGGCAGTTGTCCCCACACAGTGGTAGCTGGTCCTATGCACTTTGTTAGTGGCTAAGGAAAGGTTTAATTGTCATTAACCAGTTCCCCAGTCCTACCTCATCAGAAGTAATGGGTAGAGTGCTAGTCCCCTTGATGAAACCCACTGAGCACTTAGGCCATCACAGGCACTGTACTGAGCATGCCTGATTTCATTTAGTTGTCAACAGCCCTATCAGTGAGGCACCACTATCAGTCCTATTTAACAAAGAGAAAAATGAGACTTAAGGGAAGTTATATAAACTGTTTGAGATTAGATAGCTCGTAAGTGGCAGAGATTGGATTCAAGTCTAAGCTTGTCTATGTCCCTATTCTAAATTTCTAAAAAAAAAAAACTGAAATTGATCCATAAAACTAATAATTTCATAGATTAACCTGACAGTACTTGGGGATCATAGTTCTTTAATGCCTTTTAAAAAAATTATAAGAGTAACATATGCTTATTATAGAAAAATCTAGAAAATACAAAAAAGCATAGAGAAAGGAATGACCATTAACTTGTCATTGTACAAGTTAATCCCAACCACAAACCTTAGATATCTACTGTTAATGTTTTATTTATTTATTTATTTATTTGTTTATTTTTGGAGATGGAGTCTTGCTCTGTCACCCAGGCTGGAGTGCAGTGGCACAATCTCAGCTCACTGCAACCTCTGCCTCCTGGGTTCAAGTGATTCTCCTGCCTCAGTCTCTCGAGTAGCTGAGATTACAGGTGCCTGTCACCATGTCCGGCTAATTTTTGTATTTTTAGTAGAGACAGGGTTTCACTATGTTGGCCAGGCTGGTCTCGAGCTCCTGACCTCAAGTGATCTACCCGCCTCAGCCTCCCAAAGTGCTGGGATTACAGGCATGAGCCACCACACCTGGCCGGCCACTACTGTTAATATTTTATATCCATGTACATTTAATGATTGAGGTATTTGGTAAGATAATTTTACATCCCTTTTTTTCAGCTGGGTGATATTATATGGGCTATGATAAACTTAGAACCAGCAAGACAGAGGTTTTTATTTTCAGTTAGTCACCTGTCTAAAGGTTAACCAGCTTTCTTCCTAATACTTGAAAGTTCCACCTCACATGTTAAAGGTTTCATTCCTGCCTACTGACCCCACCTCCAGAGTCAAGCAGTTATATAATTGGGTACCTCATTCAACCGTTCTCATTGCATTGTTCCCCACCAAGAATCCAGGATGAGAAAGCTTTTGCTGCTTTTCCATCATGTGTTGCTAGTGTGTTTTTTCAGTTCTCTGTGGTATGTTATTTGCTGGTTATTATGAGTTTCCTTGATCTTTGAACACTGCCTGGGAGGTCCAGTGATTTCAGCCTTCCAGAGGTGATTTAAAAAAAAATAATCAGGGCTGGGTGTGGTGGCTCATTCCTGTAATCCCAGCACTTTGGGAGGCAAAGGTGGGTGGATCACTTGAGGTCAGGAGTTCAAGACCAGCCTAGCCAAAATAGTGAAACCTCGTCTCTACTAAAAATACAAAAATTAGCCAGGCATTGGTGGTGTATGCCTGTGGTCCCAGCTACTCAGGAGGCTGAGGCACAAGAATCACTTGAACCCGGGAGGCAGAGGCTGCAGTGAGCGAAGATCACACCACTGTGCTCCAGCCTGGGCGACAGAGCGAGACTTCGTCTCAAAAAAAAAAGAAAAGCAGAAGTAATCAGTCCGGGTGCGGTGGCTCACGCCTGTAATCCCAGCACTATGGGGGGCTGAGGCATGCAAATCGCTTGAGCTCAGAAGTTTGAGACCAGCCTGGGCAACATGGCAAAACCCCATCTCTATGAAAAATACAAAAAATTAGCCAGGTGTGGTGGCATACGCCTGTAGTCCCAGCTACTCAGGAGGCCGAGATGGGAGAATTGCTTGAGCCCAGGAGGTGGAGGTTGCAGTAAGCCGAGATGGCGCCAGCCTGGGTGACAGAGCGAGACTCCGTCTCAAAAAAAATAAAGAAAAAAAAAAAGAAAATGGCATAAAAAATAAAAAAGTGAATGGTATCAAAGGACCATTCACTCAGCCTCAAACAATGAGAAGCAGCTTCAAGAAGGGGGCTGTTAAGGGTTTAATTAAAGAATTACTATTTCCTTTGGGAGTCTTAGCTCCTCTCAGATGATGGAGCAGCTTTCATTCATGTGGAACCAGCTCTTCTGGGGTGGGACCATGGGAATTTTCAGCCATCTCTGTTTTTTTCCTTTCAGTGTTCAAGGAGAAACCTAAATATCCCCCCAGCAGGGCCCAATCCCTGAGCTATGCCTTGACCTCTCCTGATGCCTCATACTTAGGTTCCATCGCCCGGCTCTTCAAAAATCTCAACTTTGTGCTGCTTGTCATCACCTATGGTAAGGTGTCAATGTGTCTAGGAATGCATTCGAGCTGGAAATGTTAGATGAGAGGCCTGATGTGTCTTCATATATTACTCTTTCTAAATCCCAAATGTGCATGTAAAGCTGTTGTCTAGGGTCAATCCAGAGGACCCAGCTATGCCCAAGGGCCTTTGCATGTGTTGTAAAGTCCACCTAGAAAATAATTTCTTCCCATGTCAGGTTATCTGACAAATGCCTGTTGGTCCTCCAAGTCTCATCTCAGTATCACTTTTGTAAAGCAGTAGTAGGTAACTTTCCCTCTCTTACCATGCTATTCCTTGTACATCTTAACACCTGTCATTAAAAAAAAATTTTTTTGCAGGTCTATTTCCCCATTAGACTGAACTCTCTGAGTGTGGATTTATGTTTTTCATCTTTATAGTTCCTCAGCAGTGTCGGGCCTCGAGTGACTATTCCAGTAGTTACTGAATTAGTTAATTAATTAATGCATGCATGCATATATGTGTCTTGCCACATGAGTCACTCCTCAACCAGTCCTCCCTCATCCTGTAATTGACTTCTATTTTATCTGAATGCACAACAACATCCCTCTTTCATTTCATTTGCTTGGCTCTTGGAAAGATAAATTGGAATCTTTATGCTAACATGTTGGCTTTCTTTCCCCGCATGGTGTTTTCTGTATCTTATTTCAAACCTGTAATAAGATTGTTGGATCGAACAAGGGCAAAGACAGAGCCTCATAGCATTCCACTAAAGAGTGTCCTCCAGATGAATGCCAGTCTATTAGTTAGTACCCTTAGTTCAAGCTGCTACATATCTACCCACCTTTATTGCTATTCAGCCTACATTTGGTCATTTAATCCACCAGTTAAAGTTTGATTAAAACTAAGCGTTAGCAAATCTGTGACATGTACCGTAACCATATGAAACAAAGAAATGAAATTGGTTTGACATGACTTATTCTTAGTGAAACCCCAGTTGGCCATGGCTTCATGTTGCCTATAGACTCAAAAGCTATTGTTTTATGTTTTATAACAACAATAGTGCTTACTATGTGTCAGGTGCTTTTCATATCTGATTTTATTTAACTTCCAGTACACCTATGTGATGTTGGTACTAAAATTATCCCTATTTAACAGATGAGGAAACTAAACTCAAAGTGGCCAAATAACTAGCCCAAGGTCACACAACTTTCAAGTGGCAGAGCCAGAGTTCAAATACAAGTTTGTCTAACTCCAAAGTCTCATTCTTTTGCTTTTTTTCTTTTTTTTAAGACAGAGTTTGCCTCTTTTTGCCCACACTGGAGTGCAGTGGTGCGATCTGGGCTTACTGCAGCCTCTGCCTCCCCGGCTCAAGCAATTCTTCTGCCTCAGCCTCCCGAGTAGCTGGGATTACAGGCACATGCCACCATGCCCGGCTAATTTTTGTATTTTTAGTAGAGCCAGGGTTTTGTCATGTTGGCCAGTCTGGTCTCAAACTCCTGGCCTCAGGTGATCTGCTCACCTTGGCCTCCCAAAGTGCTGGGATTACAGGTGTGAGCCACTGCGCCCAGCCAAAATCTGCATTCTTAATGCCTGTTCTGTAATTGCTGATGTTCCTTCCTAGAATTGTGCCAGAGTTTCATTTTAGGCTCAACAATACATTTTATCTCAACTAAAATGTTTATCTGCTGAAACACTAGATAAGAGGTGGCTTCATCCTGGTAGAGGGGCAATCCTGTTTTTCAGGCATACATAGAAATTAGGTGACCTTTCATCTGGAATAGCTGTAGGTTTGTCTTCAAGATCTTGGTCCTCCGTTCCTCATTTCCTCCAGTTTCTCAATTCTCTGAGTATGTCTCCCCATTCATCCGCAAAATAAAGACAAAGTTTCCAATGCTTAGAGAAGTCCAACTAAGGAAGTTACAAGTTCCCCATCACCGGAAGGTATTCAAGCATAGATGGGACTAACCACTTGATGGGAATGTTGTAGGGGATCTCAGGCTAAAGATGGATAGTGAAACCAGATGGCCTTTGGGGGCCCTTCTAGACTCAGGATTCCATGACTCTAAGAGCTTTTACTTTCGCTAGAGTTGGACATCATGAGTGCATTGACCTCTGACAACCATAAATCTTGCTGCATCTAACAAGAGGATATTTGAGGCCTACCTGGGATTCTAGGGCAGATGAGTGCTTCATAAATATTTTCTATAGCTGAAAATGGTGACAGTGGTGATAACTGGGCAATGGTCCCATTCCAAAGGCTGTGGTCCTCAGTGCTGGAGGTTGTTGGTCTTAGGGCCAGGTCACTGACTCATGAGAACAAGAAACAGAGACAAAATGTACCAGAAACATTGTTGCTCCTGGTCATCGAGGGGTCAAGCCTAGGCCATGCTGTGGGGAGCAAAGCTACTCCTCCTCCTTCCTCTCACATGCCTGTTTGCTTACGTGGTCTTTAATCTGACAAAGTAGTTTTAATCCTGTACTTCTGGACACTTTTCCTTATCTATTTGATTAAATGATAACCGAGGAAATAAATAGGAAAGCACTTCTTGAATGGTGGAGTAAGGACCTTAGAAAATCCGCTCCTCTATAGAAACAAGAACAATGGCAAAAAATATCCAAATGAATTTTTTCAGAACTTTTAACAAATGGCTTGCAACAATCCAAGCAGCATTTATTCAAGAGAAATGGCTAAATATCAGTAACAACAGTGGGCCTTGTGTTTTCACTTGCCCTATTCCAATCCCTTTCTCCCTACTACAGCCTTGCAGCCATGGGGCTGTGACATCCAGCAGCCTCGCAGCCGTGGAGCTGTGAAAACCAACTGTCTCATAGCCATTGGAGGGAGCAAAGTCGATTTGGAGCTCCACCCCTGAGAATTACTATTTGACCTACCTAGCAGGTCCCCGGAAAAGCCCTATTCATAGGACATGTTGCTATTTAACCTGACTTGGAGTTTGCTAATGGGAAAAGCCCTATTGCCAGGGCATTTGTTGAAAACAGTCAATGGCACTGCTTAACATTGTAGCTGCCTGCAGTGGGGATAACAGTTGGGGTGAACAAGAGGCTGCCTGAAAATGCTGAAAGGAAACTCTGGAGAATGTGATGTCCATATGGGGTTCTTTGCCAAAAAGAAAATGATTCTTAGACTTAATCACAGATTTGAAAAAATTTTTGACGGAGGAATCATGTTAATTGCTTTACATGCATTATCTCATTTAATTTTCAAAACAAACCCATGACATAGCCCTTTGTTTCATTTTATACATGAGGAAACTGAGGCTCTAGAGTTTTAGCTTCTTGCCTATAGGGCGAGAACTATAGGCACTTACTCCAACTGTTAATCTTTGCTTTCTTTTCCTACTGTGTTTGTTCCAAATTAAAACAAACAAAAACAAAAACAATTTTTTTTTTTAAACAGAGTCTTACTCTGTCGCCCAAGCTGGAGTGCAGTGGCATGATCTCGGCTCACTGCAACCTCCACCTTCCAGGTTTGAGCAATTCTCTTGACTCAGCCTCCCGAGTAGCTGGGATTACAGGTACCCGCCACCACATCCAGGGAATTTTTGTGTTTTTAGTAGAGACAGGGTTTCACCATGTTGACCAGGCTGGTCTCGAACTCCTGACCTCAGGTGATCTGCCCGCCTTGGCCTCCCAACAAAAACAATTTTCTAAAATGCCCTCTATCAATTCAACTAGATGCTTTGAAATCCTCCAGAATTACCCCAGTCCTCCTAATCCCCTTGCAGTTTCAGATTGGACTTTGAAGAACAAAATGGTTCATACTTTTTACATTGTACACATAGTGTTCATATTTAGCTCTGAATTATATGCATTTAAAGAGCATGTGGCTAGGAATTAAGCAGGCAACAGCATTTCACAGGCACATGTACTGGACATGGGTGGACATGTCTTGGGTTAAGAGCCTTGAGTGCTGGACTCGTAAGTTCAGAGTTGGCTCATAAGAAATGGGAGGTCTGAGTTTTGGTGTCAGCTCTGCCAGATACTGAGTGTACCACCTTCATCCATCTGTGCTGCCCATCCTTCATCTCTTTAATACTCTCCACCCCCACTAGAAAACAGTAATGATACTTATTTCCCATTGGAGTGTTCTGAATGGAAGTGAAAGCTTTTAATGCAGTTGAGAATAAAGACATGGCATGCCTCCAGACTGCCAGTCTGCCATTGCCAGACTGCAATGCTATTGCATTGGTAAACTTACTGGTTTCCAGCGTTGCTTCTTTGGTCCAAACCAGATTTCACTAAGAGGGGGAGTAACTGTCCTGCAGCTGGTGGTATTGTATTTGTAGTGGCTTTTCAAGTGGTTCTCCCAGCTGATGAGTCAACTGCCCAGAACTGAGGTGCAGCGATAATTGAAGGCCTTGGAGGAAATCGAGGGTCCAAGTGTTGCTGGCTTTTCCCTAGACTTCTGGCTACACTCTTAGAGGTAGGGTTGAGAGATAAAATAAAGACCATCCAGTTAATCTGAATTTCAGATAAACAACAAATACTTTTAATATAAATATGTCTTATGCAATATTTGTGGCATATTTATACTAAGAACTATTATTTATTATAAATGTATTTATTTGCTATTTTTTTTCAAAATCTGGCAATTCAGTTTAGAGGGGGAGAGGTGCAGGGGTGGAGCTCGTGCTTGATGTTGCGGAAATATCATATCAGTAAGAAACTGCCAGTAAAACACCCTTCCTCTCTCCTTTAACTTTGGCAATGTGGGAAGACTCAGGGAACCAGAAATTCCACCTGTCTGCCAGTGTCTTTGGTGTGTTTCACAGTAGGGTAGGGTGGGATGGAGAAAGGAACCTTCCTCTGGCTACCTTCTCTTTGTGTCTCTGGTGTGTTTCACAGTAGGGTAGGGTGGGATGGAGAAAGGAACCTTCCTCTGGCTACCTTCTCTTTGTGTCTCTGGATCTTGCATTCACATGGCCTCCTCTAATGTCTTATTATCAATGGCATAACAACTGCCCTGTTGAAAAGAATTGTTGAAAAGGCTTCTCTTCTAGAAAATGGCATACTCAAAGGGCGTACTTTTCCCATAGTTATGCCCCAGACTTGCTGCCAGCAAGATTATTCATGCTTCTGAATAAACTTGCAGTGCCTCTGGCATCTGAACTCAGAGCCTCAACTTGTGTATCCCAAGGTTCACCTTCCCTTGGGGCTCTCAGCACTTTATCATTGCTCCACCTACATGGACCTAGGGAGGGGGCTTCATGCCCCCTCTAAAATCCTGGCTGAGGAGTGGGCATAAAATCCTCCAGATTCCTGGGAGCTTTGCCGAGGTCAAGCTGGCCCTTTAAAACAAGGACTAAAGGGAAACGCAGAATAACCAAAACCCAAAGATATGATCTGGGGTCAGTGTTTCCCAGACTTCCCTGAGGATAGGACCCCCTGGGGTGCTTGATTGAATGTGTGCATAGATTTCTGGAAATTCAGATTCAGAAAGTTTGGGTTGGGGCCTAGGAATCTGCTTTCTACCAGCATCCCAGATAATTCTGACTTGCAGCAGAGTTGAGAACCTCTGAGGTAGCTGTGTGATGGGTCTTGAAGCGCCTTCCCATCCCAGCTGCCTCCATGTTAACCCCACCACCTGGGAGCCTGGGTCTGGTCCCTGATCTTTTGTATCTTGAAGGCCATGTATTCTCAAATTCCAGACATTTTAACAAGTGCATTGGGGTTTTATTGTTGTAGTTGCTAAAGATGCAGATTCCTGGGCCCCATTCCAAGAGATTCTGATTCAGTAGGTCTATGGTAGGGCCTCAAAATCTGCAGTTTTAAACTTTAAGGAATTCTAATGTCAGTAGTCACCGGAACACAGTTTGAATAAAATTGTTATTGGCTGGGCTTGATGGCTCACACCTGTAATCCCAGCACTTTGGGTGGCCAAAGTGGGAGGATCGTTTGAGGTCAGGAATTCAAGACCAGCCTGGTAAACATAGCGAGACCCCAAAGAAATTTTTTACAAAGAAAAAAATTGTTTTTGACAAAGGAGAGAAAGAGACTCAGAATGATGACAGAGTCCTTTCTGCCTCTCTAAAGCCTGCCTCCTCAGTAAGTGGCACTACTCCCAGGTGACTGATTCCAGGAATGACCAGGCCTTTCAGGGAAGATCACATTTTCTCTTCCCTGGCCCAGCAGGCTCACCTTGCTGAGGATGATCAGACCTGAATAGAATGCAGTCACCTGTACTCCTGTAAGGGGTACTCACACAGGAAGGAGCATGCATTTCATTCCTGCCCTTCTGTGTGGGATGCCCAACCCCTTTGTTTTGGCAGTAGAGTGGACTTACGCTGGTTAACTGTGTCTGGCAAACTTTGACAATATGGTGAGGGACATCTAGACCAAAGATGGATTCAGAAAACATACATAAGCTCCTAAATCCTCTAAGGTGGGGCTGCAGAAACAGTGGAACAGATTGGCAGCCCTCCAGGATGAACCCCTGCTCTTCCTTCCCTCTCGCCGCCCTTTAGCCCCGCTTCAGTCTGCTGTCTGGCCTGGAGCAGGGATGGCTGTTGTTTAACCACATTGCTCTAGGGAGCCAGTGCTTCCACCTGGAGCACGATCAGAATCACCTGGGAGGCTTATTCAAATGCAAATTGCCGGGGGCCTCACTCCCAGAGTTTCTGCTGCAGTAGGTCTGGGGTGGAACAGAGACCACACTTTGGAAACTATTTCACTAAACCATTGAGCCCCAGAAAAACCACTCAGCTTCAGCAGTATGGGCCAACCTGTTCAGGACTCTGTTCCCCAGGTCTTTATCAGGACCAGTGAGCACTGGTGTATTTTTTTTGCTCCCAGTCCTTCTGGATAATTTCCTTTCTTTTTCTGTGGATTCTGCCATCCTTGGCTCATCCCAGTTAGCAAAGCAGCTGTTCCCCTGAAGCTAAGCCTGAGTTGGAACATTCCTTGCCCTTTGCAGTATCAGGCTAGGGCAGGCAAGAGGCTTAGAGAGGAGCGGGAGGAATGAATGGGAAGACGGGAGGAGACTATTTTCTTTCTTCTCCTTCCCACGCTCCACCTCACTTGGCTTTTCAGGAATGTCTCCTTACGGGATCTCTTCACTCGGAAATGGACTTTCTAAGTGGCTGAGTATGTACTATGAAGGGCAGATGGGAATGCTGCTTGAATGAGATGTTGCTGAGAGCCTCATGATCATTGCAACCATCAGCCTGTCAGTTGTAGTGATGTTTGGGGACATGTCTGGGTTGGTTGGCCCACTGTGGCTCACTGTGCTGCTCACTGTGTGCACAGTTGGCCCACTGTGCTGCTCAGGAGACTGCATTGAGCCCAACCTTGTAGCATCCCTGGGGTGAACTGCTGGGAGAGGCTGGGACATGAGGAAATTGTTCATGACCTGAGCTGGGAAAATCTGATTCAATAATCAGCTTTGTGAGGATGTAAAGCAGAGTGATTAAGATCAAGAAATCTGGAGCCACAGGGCCTGAGTTCAAATCCAGCTCCATCACTTAATACCTGTGTGATTGCAAAGCAAATTATTTCCCATTTTGCAAGATAATTTGACCTTCGCTTAACTTTGTATCTTTTACTCCCTGGGAACCTGATAAAGGGAGTACGTCAACTACCTTTAGGCAACATTGCTTATGATAAAAATGTCCTCTGGTGATACAAATGGACAGAGAGACCTATTCATTCTTGTGGGAAGCCATTCTTTGTGCTTCTTGGAGTACAATGACTCTTTTCACTGGCCTGTCACTTATGGGGCCCCTGGAAGCTACCCCTACGGAATTGTTACAAGTAATAGTGGTGCCTGTGAGCATTAAGCCAGGGTGGTTGCCATACCCACCTTCCCTTGCACCTTAGCCATCATCTGAAAGACAGTAGCTTCCGGAAGGCTATATGAACTGGGGTTCTATGGATTGGTTCCATTGAAGAGGAACTCCTGAGGCTGCCCTGTCCACAAGCTATGTGTCCTGACTTACACCCTTCCAAGTAAATCTAATATGGAGTGTGCCGGTGGTAGTCTTGTGAGCCTCAATGTTTAGTTAAAGTTAGAAAGACCCCCGGTGGGCATTATGGAGTGGCAGTACTTATTATTTTAACTGTGTGTGCATCTTTATTATCTCTAAAATGGTGACGATAATACTACCTACTTTCTAGAGTTGTCATAAAGTGTCTAATCCATAGGTATGTGCAGCCGCCATTGTCATCATCATCATCACCATTGAAGGGAGGCCAGGAGGCCTTTTCTCCTTTGGGTCAGTTCCAGTCTCAGCTACTCACTTGCTGTATGACTTTGGGCAAATGACCTTATTCGCTAAAGATACAGCCTTTCACAGCATATTCTAGGTGCTCCTTTGGTGAATGAATTGGTAAAGTAGGAGAGTCAACTGAATGCTCTTTAGGATCTCTTCTAGTTTCATGTAATAGATTTTGTGTGACATTGAATCAGCAAAGAAAGTTGGAGGAGGAATGGAGAAAGAGGAGAGAAATCACCTGCAGAGGGATGGTGTCAGATGTCAGAGGTCTGGAGCAGCCTCAAGAAGGGGCAGGGTCATCAGGAAGAGGAGGGTGTCCAGGACTTCTACTGACCACCCCTTAGATCTACCCAACGCTTAAGAAGAATGTAGATGACTCTGCCCTGGGAGTAATACTCAACAGAATCTATTTTCCAGGGCAAATTAAAGGGATCAGAGAGCAATAGTGTGTGGCTAAGGGAAGGTTAAATGGTTACTTTTGGTTGTTTTGAAGTATTTCTTTGAGAAAACTGCAGAGTAGCCTCAGACCTCCCTGGAGTTTTCTTCTCTGAGGATACTGCTCAGAGTGGCAGTGAGATGAGGATTTCTGCCCACCCCCCAAATGCTGGGGGAGAAGTTAGCAATGGCCCCAGAAGAAAGCTGACCCTAATGTTGTATTTCTCGCTCCCTTCTTCAGGTCTGAATGCTGGTGCTTTTTATGCCTTGTCCACTCTTCTGAATCGCATGGTGATCTGGCACTACCCGGTAAGGGAGTTCCCTAAGCATGTTGGGCCTCAAGATGATATAGTTTCTAAGTCTGTCTTGGCAGGACCTGGGATGACCGTTAAGTCTTCATTCCCCCCAGTTCTAGGTAGGGTGATATGGTGGTATGCTTATGGGATTTGGAGGGAGATGGCCCTAGATCTCAACCCTAGCTTTGGTGTTACTAAACTGTGTGATGGCTTGACAGTGTGACAAGCTAGTTAGTGTTTCTGAGCTCTCATTTTTTTTTTTTTCTGCAAAAGAAGCATAATTGCTTCTTGCAAGGTTCTTTTTAGGATCAGAGAGTAAATAATGACGCTTGTGTATGTATACATAATTATATGTGATACATGTATTTATTATACAGCATAGTGCCTGGCAACACTGTTGGCAAATATATATATAAAATATTTCTGAATTTAAATGTTTCCAGAACCCACGAGGGCTGGGCTGGATGCTGGGAATGGAATACTGAGTGGCCTGGAGTCAGGAATACGGAGATGCAACCCTCTTTTGAAAGGACTAGGCTCTCACACTTGCAGAAGGGGTAGACTATATGGCTAAGTGTCCTAGTTTTGGAGTTCAAAGGCCTGAGTTCAGATCCTAGCTTTGAACTTAACATATGCCTTGTGACCTTGGGCTAGTAGGTTAATTTCATTGTGCCTGTTTCTTCATCTGCAAAATGGAGAAGACTGACTCCTAACCTTATGATGGGGAATGGCGAGGAGTAAATGAGATAATGATATAAAACCTTAGGCATGGTGCCTGGCTTATAGTAAGCACTCAAAAATATATAACTATTATCTTTCCATTCCTCTTGGCATTGATAGTTCAAAAAAACCTAAGAATGGAAATTTTAACATATATATTTTAAATTCCCCATCTGTGAAATGGAATTAATGACAGATAAGATAGAAGAGTTGCTGTGAGGTTTACATTTTTTAAAAAATTTGCCTAAAAGTAGTTCTAAGAACAGATTTGGTTCATCCTTGTCACTCCAGCATCCAATATCATGCACACACAGTCAGGGTTATATTGTTGGGAGGAGTAGTTATTCTAGAATTTTCTCCTAGGCCATCTTGTCCCGATATGTTCTGAATATTGACTCTGATGGAGCTTGAGTTACCTGCCTTTGTTCCTTCACCCCATGGTGACTGTGCTCTGTCCTGGGTCTTGTCCCATCGCCGGGTGATCTTTGGGGTTATGGTTTCCCCAGGGGGAAGAAGTGAATGCTGGAAGAATTGGCCTGACGATCGTCATTGCAGGAATGCTTGGGGCTGTGATCTCAGGAATCTGGCTGGATAGGTCCAAAACCTACAAGTAAGTGACTCATCCTCTTGGACTGAGAATTGGGGACCTGTTTTTTGAAATGACATATTCATAAGCAGTGTGACTCCAAGTCATTGTTTGGAGATCCTAGTGGCCAAGCAGGTCATTCAAGTTTGACTTCTCTGAGCCTCACTTTCCTCATTTATCAAATGAGGGAAGCTATACCCGTCTTAAGATCCCCACAGGATCTTAGGAAGATGGGAGCTACTGGACTTGAAGGCCTAGCATAGTCCTCTTCCCCATCCCCACTCTCTAAGTAGCTTTGTGAAAGCAGCAGAGGAGGGAGAAATGAAAATGAATGGGGAAAAAAAATCTCAGCGGTGGAAAATTTGTGGAAACCCCAAAGAGTGGAGATGAGGAGGAGGTGATTTCACTCTCCTGTTCTCATGGCACCTTGTGGACCCCATGGGGTTGACCAAGGTACTCTGAGCTTTCTCCAGTTTGCAGTGTATATTATTGTGCAATTATTTATACCTTGTTGGTAAATATTATAACTTACTTTGGACCTGAATGCCCAGTGCATTTCTAAGAGCCTGGAGCTATTTTAAAAGGTTTTATCAGGCTGGGCGCAGTGACTCACATCTGTAATCCCAGCACTTTGGGAGGCCGAGGCAGGAGGATTGCTTGAGTCTAGGAGCTCAAAACCAGCCTGGGCAACATGGTGAAACCCCATCTCTACAAAAAATACAAAAATTAGCTAGGCATAGTGGCACACACCTGAAGTCCCAGCTATTTGGGAGGCTGAGGTAGAAGGATCGCTTGACCCAGGAGGTGGAGGTTGCTGTGAACTGGGTTCACGCCACTGCACTCCAGCCTGGCTCAAGAAAAAAAAGAAAAGAAAATGTTTTATCGGTGTGCACATGGGTTAAAAAAAAATTAAAAGGTTTTAGTGAATGCCAGGCCACTACCCGCCCCATGGATGCCAAATCAGCAGAAGAATCTGCATTTGTAGAAAGCAGCCTGGGTGCCTCCATTCAGCAGCTGGCCTTGGAGAAAATCCTCTGGCGAACAGCAGCCCAACATCCTTCCCTTGTGATTTTCCAGTGCTCCCCGTTCACTGGGTACTCAGTTAGCACTGGCTGGCGGGGCAGCTGTTGGGCTGTACTGTACCGGGGCAGAGCAGTGTCCCCGGCTGCTCTGTCAAGGCCTCCAAAGTTCCCAGTGTCTGCAGGCAACAGACAGTGGCAGACCTGTTCTCTGCCACACAAACCCGCTTCTGTGAGGCCCTGGTCAGACCAGGTCTCATTCTGGCTGCCCTAATCAAAGGCCAATTGAGACCATCCCTAGGGAGGTGGCGACGAGGAGCCTGGCTCGGCTTAATTACTGCTGGCGGGGCTTGGCTGCCATCTCATCGCTGCCATCTGTTAGTTGCTTGCTTCAGCCAGACACAAGAGCAGTGAGGACTGGCCATCCCCAAACCACTGAATAGCAGTGACCCTTTTTCCGGGGCTTGCTCTGCGGCAGGAGGAGGGAGGGATGGGAATGCTGGCTGGGCTGGGACATGGGCAGCCGGATGATTCAGATGAATTAGAAAAGATAATGAGAGGACTGGGAAGAACACTTTCTCAGCCCTCTTCAGAACCTAGATGTCACCAGTTCCTAGCATCACGTGATGTCTAAATCCAGTGGTCAGCACAAGATATTTTTCTCCCTGTGCCACTACCCAGGCAGAGAAAAGGCAACTCCCAGTGGGATGAGAGCTCTGTGATCCCATCATTTCGGAGCCAGTCCTCGTCACTCTAAGGCTCCCAGATTTGTCTAGTTTTG
Organism: Homo sapiens; assembly: GCF_000001405.40. Taxonomy (NCBI): domain Eukaryota; kingdom Metazoa; phylum Chordata; class Mammalia; order Primates; family Hominidae; genus Homo; species Homo sapiens. The sequence goes on from NC_000014.9 coordinate 75,636,790, forward strand.
TTTGGAGGTTGGAAATTGGGTGGTGAGGTCTGTTTATCTCAGACTGGGACTACAAATAGTTTTTCTAAACTGGTCAGTGGTTTAGGATGAAGCTATGGTTAAAGCTTCATCCTGGTGAGCTTGTGGGATCATCGGGCAAGACTGGCGTCCATGACGTTGCTTTCAGCAGAGTTGGTAGGAAGAGTGTGAGGGAGGAGCGTGAAGGGAGGAGGAAGCTCCTCTACCCTTAGCAGCTGCTTTGAAGCACCAGGTGGGAGCAGCATCCTTTGGAGACTCTGACCTTGAGCTTTTCCAAAGATGCAACCACATAGTGCATCGTTATTCCCGCATGCAGTAGCAGAAGGGACACAGGTTTCAAATCCAGCTTTGAGTTCACATCTCAGCTCTGCATTTATTCAGCTGGTGACTTTGGACAAGTAACTTGAGTGGCCTGAGCTTCAGTTTCTTCATTGGTAAAATGAGAAATCATCAGATATTTCTTACAGGATTTTTGTAAAGGTTGAATTGAAATAATAAATGCATGTGAAGTGCTTCACAGAATCTGGCACTCAAGAGATGGAGGGTTTCGTTTGACACAACCGTAGCGTGCCATTTGGTGCCTCCACCATGATTCTGGCTTCAGGGGTGATGTGTAAAGAAAAGCTTTAAAGATTTTGGCCAGGTGCGGTGGCTCACGCCTGTAATCCCAGCACTTTGGGAGGCGGAGGCGGGCAGATCATGAGGTCAGGAGATCGAGACCACCCTGGCTAACACAGTGAAACCCTGTCTCTACTAAACAAACTACAAAAAACATTAGCCAGGCGTGGTGGCGGGCCCCTGTAGTCCCAGCTGCTTGGGAGGCTGAGGCAGGAGAATGGTGAACCTGGGAGGCGGAGCTTGCAGTGAGCAGAGATCGTGCCACTGCACTCCAGCCTGGGTGACAGAGCAAGACTCCATCTCAAAAAAAAAAAAAAAAAGAAAGAAAAGAAAAGCTTTAAAGCTTTCATCATCTGAGTCCTGATGTTCATGGTAGGGGGGCAGAGGGATGTGCAGTGCCTATGCCCTGCCTTAGGTAGTGCAGGGAGAAGAATGCAGGTCGAATTGCAGGAGTCGGGGCTGCATCAGAGTCCTAGGTGGGCAACATGGGAAGAGAACTGCTGGAGGGGCACAGGAGGGGGTGAGACTGAAATAGAAACCAAGACTTGCTGATGGTACTCCTGAGGGGATCGACACAGGGAAATGTAACAGGGAGTGGGCGAAGATAGAGAAGGTTTCTCACATTGGCTTTGGAAGTCAAGCACTCAGTTCAGGCTGAGAGAATATTCTCTCTTAGTTCCTGCTCTCTGGAGTGGAGTAGTTCAGACTCAACAGAAAAAGCTTTGCTGGGCCAGGCGCAGTGGCTCACACCTCTAATTAGAACACTTTGGGAGGCCAAGGCGGGCAGATCACCTGAGGTCAGGAGTTTGAGACCAGCCTGGCCAACATGGCGAAACCCCATCTCTACTAGAAATACAAAAAATTAGCCACGTATGGTGGCGCATGCCTGTAATCTCAGCTACTTGGGAGGCTGAGGCAGAAGAATCGCTTGAACCCGGGAGGCAGAGGTTGCAGTGAGCTGAGATCACGCCACTGCACCCCAGCCTGTGCGACAAGAGCGAAACTCCATCTCAAAAAAAGGACAAAAGAAAAAAAAGAAAAGAAAAAGCTTTGCTGGGTCTGTTGGTCTGTTCAAGTAGGGACAGGAAGAACTTGTAGGTGACAGAGCACATTGCCCAGCATTGTCATGGGTCTTGGGATAAAGCAGACAAGCAGAATTGGACAGCTTCTGGGGTAGTCCTGAATGTCACCGCCACCTCATCATGGCTGATGTTTGTCCTGTTTTTTCTTTTTTCTGGTGAGGGATGGGAGAAGGAGAAAGGGCTTTGCCCTTCTTGTCTGTGGCTAGGACATGACAAGTCAAGGGGCAGATTGATATTGTTGAGTGGGTTCTACAGAAAGGGAACAAAGATATCGTAAGATGGCTTCATACTTTACTAGTCTTACTTACCCTTTGTAGCATTGATCATGATGTAATTAAATAATTTTTTTGTGTGATCATCATCTGTCAGTGTCCATCACCCTCATGGAGAGAAAGTTCTATGAAAGAAAATGTCCAAGAACAAGGCCAGGCCTTGGCTTTGTAAGGCCTGTAATCCCAGCACTTTAGCAGGCCAAGGCAGGTGGAGCACTTGAGGTCAGGAGTTCGATACCAGCCTGGCCAACACGGCAAAACACCGTCTCTATGAAAAATACAAAAATTAGCCAGGCGTGATGCGCACAACTGTCCCAGCTACTCAGCAGGCTGAGGCACAAGAATTGCTGGAGCCCAGGAGGTAGAGGTTTCAGCGAGCTGTGATCACGCCACTGCACTCCAGCCTGGGCAACAGAGCAAGACACTGTCTCTGAAAACAAAACAAAACTCCAAGAACATAGCAGAGGGCTTGACATGCGGCAGATACTTAATAGATGCTTGTGGAATAAATGAATGAATGAGCCTATTAAAGTCAGAAGTGTTTGATTCAATTTCTTTGCCTCTACTTGTAGAGAGACAACCCTGGTAGTCTATATCATGACACTGGTGGGCATGGTGGTGTACACGTTTACCTTGAACCTGGGACACCTGTGGGTAGTGTTCATCACTGCTGGCACAATGGGGTAAGTTTCACCTCTGGCTGATTTATTAGAAAATACCATGCCATGGCTCCCAGAGCTTCCAGCATCCTAGAATGCAATATTGATGCCTTTGCTGCCTTCTAACTGACCTCAGGAGATATGGACATGGTGCCCAGGGGTCTCGGTAATACTTGTAGTACTTCCAAAGGCAGCCTGGGCTGTCTGTTCTTTTGGGATGGAATGAAGCATGAAGCACACCCTTCGCGACCTCTTGGAGGCTAGAACCTGTTCAGAGTCTTTTTCAGTTTTGCCTGGACAACATGGGATTGTGGAAAGTACACAGGGCTTGGAACCAGAGACTCTGGGTCCTGGTCTCAGTTTTGCTGCTGCCTACCTGTTAGACCATGGGCACAGCACTTAACCATTCTGAGCCTCAATTTCCTCATCTGTAAAGAAAGATAATAGTGGCCTGCCTTGTCAAGTTGTTGGACAGATTGAGAAAGATAATAGATATGAAAGCATCAAGAAGCATTGTGAAAATGTAAGAAATTAAAGTTGCCGGGTGCGGTGGCTTAACGCCTGTAATCCCAGCACTTTGGGAGTCCAAGGCAGGCAGATCACAAGGTCAGGAGTTCAAGACCAGCCTGGCCAATATGGTGATACCGCGTCTCTACTAAAAAATACAAAAATCAGCCAGGCATGGTGGCACACACCTGTAGTCCCAGCTACTTGGGAGGCTGAGGCAGGAGAATCGCTGGCACCTGGGAGGCGGAAGTTGCAGTGAGCCAAGATCGAACTACTGCACTCCAGCCTGGGAGACAGAGTGAGACTCCGTCTCAAAAAAAAAAAAAAAAAAAGGAGAAATTAAAGTTGGAATTTTCTAGACCTGTTGTATGAGAAAACATAGGAAACAATACCTCTTTCACAGGAGTCTTTGTTCAGCTCTGCTTCCCAGTTATTTTCCTATGGGCAGTATATGAGTGTTTGTGTGTGTGTGTGTGTGTGTGTGTGTGTCTGTATGTGCATGTGAAAGAGAGAAAGAGGGAGAGAGCATGTGCTGGCACTCAGTCCTCAGCTGGTTCCTCTCTGGATGGAAATAAGGAGGACTCTAAGCTCCTCCTTCCAGGTCCCAGAGAGCCACGGAGATCCTGCTCAATATCCAGGAAGTTCCCACTCCCAGCACAGGGCCTGTGTACCCAGGACATAGTCTCTCAGCTGAAGGTTGAACACACCAGGCATCCTTGCCCCTTCTGTAAATGCTGACTGGCTGTCACTGATGGCAAGATGGAGAAGCAGCAAGGGATCCCAGAGGCCTGCTGAGCACAAGGTCTCCCTGTGAACTTCTTCCTGGCCTTCAGGGGTGCCCGTCTCCTTGGTATGATCACATAGAGGATGCCCAGATCATTAGAGGGCCTAGTATGTCTTGGTGGGAAGAAACAAAACAGCAAAGGGAGTCCTAGGGGAGGAGGTGGGCTCCCCATCCTTCTTGTTCTGGAAGTTCTTCATCCCCTTGTTTCTCTGGTCTGGTCTTCAGCTTCTTTATGACTGGCTATCTCCCACTGGGATTTGAGTTTGCTGTGGAGCTCACGTACCCAGAATCAGAAGGCATCTCCTCCGGCCTCCTCAACATATCTGCACAGGTAGAGCTCGTATTTCCTGTTTGTTTCCTGGCTGGGAAGGCATTGCATCATGGCAGCTCAGTTCTTCCTCATGAGTTAGTTGACTGGGCCCTTGTTTCCTATCTTCTTTATGCCTTTCCAGGTATTTGGGATCATCTTTACCATCTCCCAGGGCCAGATTATTGACAACTATGGAACCAAGCCTGGGAACATCTTCCTGTGTGTGTTCCTTACTCTTGGAGCAGCCCTCACTGGTGAGTTGGAGCCTGAGGGCAAGATGAGGCTCAGGTTGGCCATTTGGGACCCTAGTGTCTCGATGGAGCAACAGATAGGGAGTACGTACGTAGGGGGACAGATGGAAGGGTTTGTTGGGGAATCTGTTGGGAGGCAGCACATTGTTTTGGTAGAATGAGCATGGGTTTTGGAGCCAGAAGACTCATGTTGGAATCCCAGACTGTGACAATGACTTCCATAGCTATTGACCTTGGATAAGTGGACCAACCTCTGGGAACCTCAGTTTTTAATCTGTAAAATGAGGATTGTTGTGATGATTAGAGCAATGTGTGCAAAGTCCCTGATCCATAAGTGAAGGCCACTGTCATTGTTGGCTTCTGCCTGTCAGGGACGGCAGTGATCCTCGGGCTCTCTCAAATTGGCTGATGGTGCCCTCAGTCACCAGCTCTCTTGACTATCTGAAGTAAGTTTGGGATACCTGTGACCCTTAGGAAATGAAGGTTTCTTCTCTCGGATGAACGTGATAACTGTATTTTTGTCTCTCTTCCTTCTCAATCTATCAACCTTAGCATTCATTAAGGCAGATCTCCGGAGACAGAAAGCAAACAAAGAAACTCTTGAGAACGTGAGTATATGGGAGCTTTGTGGGGCTGAGATCGGGGTCCAAGGCTTTTGATGAGGATGTGGCAACATAGATGGGGCAGGGAGAACTCCCACAGGGACTGGTTTTGTCATAGCTGGGAGACCAGTTCATCCCTTACACATGGCATCCTAAGACTTTCCTCAGTGGGCATCTTTGGCATTGCGTTCTTGCTACTGCTACCCTTTCTTGGACTCTTCTCCCACTTCCTGCCCTCTTTCTGGAGCCCCCGGCCTCATCCCCAGAGTGTGTCACCGTTGTCACAGTCTGCTGAACAGCACCCCTGACTGGATCTTGAGCCGAGTCCTGAGGCTCTGGCTCCACTGTTTTCAGCCTGGGGTCAGTGGCTGGGGAGGAAGGGGAAGCCTGGCTCCACCACTCTGTCATGGCAGTGCTGGCCCTAAGGCTGTGACTCTCCTGGCATGTGACAACTCCTTAGGCAGGGCCATGGGGACGGAGCCAAAGAATTGCCAGTGGGGCTCTGAAAGGACAAGTCAGGAAGCAGGAGCTGGCGAGGTAGCAGAGGAGAGGACCAGGAGTATGACCTAGAACAGAAAAGTGTTTTCCATCTGTTCTAACCAGCTGGGAACCACTTTAAACAAAATGTTAGGTATCAAATCTGAGTGATGATGAAAGGAATTTCAAATCTGAGAAAGAGCAAAGGTAAGATATTTCTTCAAAAATTAAAAAAAAACTTATAGAGGTAATACATGCTCTTTGTAGAATAAGTAAAAAATACAGAAAAGTGTACAAAATTTAAAAATCATCCTGTAATTTCATCATTTAGAGATGAGATGCCTTTTTTGCATTGATTGCTGCATGTCTGTATCCACTTATAATATATACGTGGATATATGAATGTGTGTATATAAATGCATATTTTTAAACAGAAATAAAACTGCTTTTTTCACTTATTGCAAGCACTTTATCAGGCAACTAGTCTCTTACAACATACTTTTTTTTTATGAGACACAGTCTTGCTCCGTCACCTAGGCTGGAATGCAGTGGTACAATCTCAGCTCACTGCAGCCTCTGCCTCCCGGGTTCGAGTGATTCTCATGCCGCAGTCTCCCAAGTAGCTGGGATTGCAGGTGCACGCCACTATGCCTAGCTAATGTTTGTATTTTTAGTAGAGACGGGGTTTCACCATGTTGGCCAGTCTGGTCTCAAACTCCTGACCTCAAATGACCCACCAATCTTGGCCTCCCAAAGTGCTGGGATTACAGGAGTGAGCCACTGTACCTGGCCTACAACATACTTTTAATGCCTGCATAGTGTTCCTTTATACGGATAAGCCATGATTTATTTAGCAATTTTCCTGTCTGTGGACATTAAGGTTGTTTTGAATTGTTACAAATAATATTGTGATTAATATGTTGGAAGCTGAATCTTTGTGCATGTTCTCAAGTACCATATTTCCTGGAGAAATGGAATAATGGTCATGCCCATTTCAAAGACTTTGGTATGTGTTGCTAAACTGTCCTCTAGAAAGGTACTTTGAGTACTAGCAATTTCTATTGCTAGGCAGTCATATGAGCGCCAACACTGAGTATTTTTCATTTTGAAAAATCTTCGCCAATTTTCTAAGGCAAGAGATATCTGTAAGGGATATTTTTAGTGTTTGAAGGATCTGTGTTGGCAGATAGATGATAATCTTTAGGTCTTTACTATTTGTCTTTTGCTATTACGTTCTAGAGTTGGCAGGCAGCAGCAGAAAAGCATGTGGAAGAAGGAGCCTAGAACAGGAAATTCACTGGGGAGACAGGGAAGGCCTTTCAGCAGGAATGACATTCTTTAATTCTGTGTCAGGGCCATAGTATGGCCACTGTGGAGATGGATTTTTCACCCACACTGTGTACAAGGGGACATAATGATTTGGTACACTGGCCGGGCGCGATGGCTCATGCCTGTAATCCCAGTACTTTGGGAGGCCAAGGTGGGCAGATCAGGAGTTTGAGACCAGCCTGGCCAACATGGTGAAATCCTATCTCTACTAAAAATACAAAAATTAGCCAGGCTAGTGTCGCACGCTTGTAATCCCAGCTACTCGGGAGGTGGAGGTTGCGGTAAGCTGAGATCATGCCATTGCACTCCAGCCTGGGTGACAGAGCAAGACTCCATCTCGAAAAAAAAAAAAAGAGAGAGAGAGAAATGATTTGGTACACTTGGGTAAATATATGTATAGCCTAGTGAAAGGTTTCAGTTTGGAACGTGACGTATTATGTCAAGTGACATAAGATTTGCTGTGTTGACTTTATAACCTGTGTTTATGTTGGCAGACATAGGCAAACAAAGAAAATAAAAATCACCTATAATCCTGCTTCCCAGAGATAACCTAGTAGCATTTCCAGTGTTGTAATCTATGGACATGCTTGCGTATATTTTGTTTTCTACCCTGCTTACTTAGTATAGCTTGATAACATTTCTACAGTGTTACATTATACCACAACCTCATGTCTACTGTGTATTTCCATCTCACTCAATATTTCAGTTGTTCCACTATTTCATTATTCTTGCAGCCAGCTCTTTGTGTACATGGACCAGGTTTGTTAATCAAGGTTACAATTGTTGGCTCAGTCTCTTTTGAGTGTGGGGTGCTGGAAATAGCGCTGAGTAGGAATAACAGCCTTAGGTTCCAATAAATGGTGCTCACCTGTCTTGTGTCCCTGGATAATTCACTATGTGTCTGTAGACCTCCCTGGCACCTGTGGCAGCATGGTATTATGGGGGGTCAAAGTCATGCTGGGACTGACACCAGCAAGGAAGCCAGGGCCATCACAGAGCAGCCCTCCTCTGGAGCCGTGACATTACGCACCCCATGGCAGCTGGTGTAACTCAGAGACCTGTGGACAAATTCATTGTCAGAGTCAGGTGAAGACTGGGCACACGGCAGATCTGGCCAGACCTGCTCTTTCTAATCAGTGAGATGTATAGTTTAGGGAAAAAGAGATGGGACTTCTGGGACAGGGTAATGATTGACCTTGACTATGAACATCTTACTGGTTTGGGTTTCCATTTTTCTTCTAGCACATAGACAGTAGTTGCACTTCTGTCTCCACTAACTTGTTTCCCATTTGTGATTGTGATTTCCAGGTGATGGCTTTGGAGGAGGCGGGCGTGGTGTGTGTGTGTGTGTGTGTGTGTGTGTGTGTGTGTGTGTGTGTCAGAGAGAGAGGGGAGACTAAGTGACTGAAATAGGCTGTTAGTTTCCTGAATGATGGCTCCTCATGGCTGAGGCTGACTTGATGCCAAGTGTTAGCAAGATTGAGAATGGGAAGGTTGGATTCTACAGCTGTCTCCATTACCACAAACAGGCACTGAGACACTCCCTGGGGAAGAAAGCACCATTTGTCCACTTGACATTGGCTTCTGTCTTAGCCCTGTGCATGTCCTCTAGGCCTTGAGTAGTGTTGGCTGTGTGGTGCTGCACCTGTGCCCAAGGCCTTCTTGTGAATCAGAAGAACCCTTGAGGTCACAGACAAAGTACTTCTTAAAACAGTAGACAAAGGCCCAGGTTGGCAGTATGTACCTAGGGGCCCCACAGGATAATTTCCAGGCCATGTTGAATTCCAAACTCACCTAAAAAGTGTGACTTAGAAGACTTTCCTGTAAATGAATCCTGTGCCATCCCTCCCCTAGAAAGCTAAAGCCATTGAGCTTACATATGCAATTATGCATGCTGCTTTGGCATCTACTGCATGTTCATTATGATAGTATTCCTCAGCTGGGCGCGGTGGGTCACGCCTGTAATCCCAGCACTTTGGGAGGCCAAGGTGAGTGGATCACCTGAGGTCAGGAGTTCGAGACCAGCCTGGCCAACATGGTGAAAACCTGTTTGTACTAAAAATACAAAAATTAACTGGGCATGGTGGTGGGCACCTATAATCCCAGCTACTTGGGAGGCTGAGGCAAGAGAATCACTTGAACCTGGGAGGCGGAGTTTGCAGTGAGCCGAGATCGCGCCATTGCACTCCAGCCTAGGCAGCAAAGTGAGACTCCATCTCAAAAAAAAAAAAAAAAAAAAAAGTATTCCTCATCCTGGGGCTGCCTCCAAGTGGGGGTTGTTGGAAATTCCAAGGGAATCGCAGACCTGGCACCTTGGACAGTGATTTGATGGTTAGTTGAGGTGAGTTTTCAGCTGTCAGAATGTGGAGGGAAAAGGGGCTTTGCTTCTGTTTCAGTCCCGAGAGTGAGCCTGAAAGAGTGGCACTCGGAGCTGGATCATTTGTGGTGGCCTTGGCATCATAGAAAGCTTGCCCCTTTTTCCCTCTGATGACCTCATGATGTTGGGTGGTGTGTGTTTGTGGGTGCATTTATGGCAGGGGCTGGTTGCTTCTTTTCTTGTTCTCTTTCTTGGCTCTCTGGGATGCTGAGTGGCCCCCGGCTCTTGTATTCCCCACTGATTAGTCATGGCCAGGCAGCTGCTCCAGCCAGGGTGGAGTGCTGTGCCTTTACCCACAGCACTGCCTGTTTGTTTTGCTTTATAGAAACTCCAAGAGGAGGAGGAGGAGAGCAACACCAGCAAAGTGCCCACTGCTGTGTCAGAGGATCATCTCTGAGAGGAAGGTGGTGACAACTCAGGGAACACGAACACCCCACCTTTTCCTTCAGCACAGCTCTCACCGCCAGCACAAAGGGCTTCGCTAGAGATGTTTTTGGAGGGAATCAGTGGGACTATTTGTGGCATGGATGGCCTATTCCTCCTAGAACCCACGTAAGAGCTTGGATGATTTAGTTGGAGAAAATTGCACCTATCACCAAATGCAAATTTGATTCCCACCTCCACCCCCTTTTAGGTTATGGGAGTTGGTGTTGGGACAGGGTGGCAGAGAATATTGGAGTCAATCCTAGCTTGGTCTCTTGCCTTCCCTCTTTTCCTCCATCCATCGTGGACAATGCCTGCAAAATTTTCACAGGAAGAAAGCCTATTCAGGATATTAACTTGAAATTTCCAGTGTCCTAAGAGCCTCTCATGAAGCCCAGTTCTAATAAGTGGCAAGCTGCTCTGCCGGGGTCATCTCCTGGGTCATCGGACTGATTGCTCAAGTTCTGCAGGAGAGGAAGCACCATTAGAACAACTCCATCAGAACAGCTCCACCGGGACTTGTGGGCCTAAATTTTCCTGGCCTAACGGGTCTGTCTCCAAACCCTCTTTCCTAAGAGCTGAGCAAACCAACCATAATAAACTTGACAAAAGACTTTGTTGTGGCCATGACAGAGATACCGACTCAGGAGGGCTACCTACCTAGGTGTGATCATGCTGGGGGCTACCTTCTGAGTATATTTGTGAAAGCACATATTTGGGAACTCTGGTAGCTTGAGTTGGGAATGGGAAGGTTCTTTTTTACAGAAGTACTTCCCCAGGGACTTCTGTGTGTCACAGTCACCTCTGATGCCTTTATCTTGATGTTGCATTGGGAATCTCAGCCATCAGCCCAAGTGCTTGTTTTATTCCAAGGCAGGGTAATCCCCGTCAACTTACTCTAACCTTTGCTGAAAACTAATCTTGATTCATTCTACTCTGAAAATCCAAAGGTGCTTCTGAGAGATAAGAGGGAAGGGGTAGAAGGAAAGGTGCCCCTTGAAATGGGAATTGAGCCTGTTAGAATTAAAAGCTTATCTCACCTCTGCTGGGGACAGTATTTGCACCACCAACCCCTCTCCTCACCTGCTTTGAGCGATAATCTTTATCAGATATTCTAAACTTAAAGGGATTCCCTTTAAACCAACTCAAGCTGATCTTTCCTATCTAGCCTGCTGTTTGGCTGTACTCATGGGCTTTGGTAATATCTCCTAAAAATGAGGTTTTGGTAATTTTTCCTATGCATTGGGCAACTGTGATCGTGACCACTGTGCTGTCTTGCTCCAGCCACTGCCCTGGCCTCAGCATATCAGGGCAGCCTGTGCTGGCTGCAATACTGTGGTGCTTGGGCCACTGCCTGAGAGGAGCCAGGTTTGTGTGTGTCTGCATGTGTGTGTGTGTGTGTTTGTACAGATTCAAGCAATGGATGCAAGGAACATGCTGTATGTAATAGAAGAAAGAAGTCCACGTTTTCGGCAGAAGTAGTGAGTCAGTGTGGAAGAGAGGTGAGGGTGTGCTTTACTTTTTGATAAAGAGAAAGATGTTTACTCATAAACCCTTCAAAAGGTATTAACAAAATGTTTACCAAACCTATTGCTTTATTTTAAAAACATAATTTGTGTTTTCTATTTGTAAGATCTGACATTTCGAGGCAATAAAAACTTCTCAGAAAGTGGTCTGCCTTATCATTCAGTGGGGCAGAGATGGCTCTTAGAAGTCCCTGCAAGACTGTCACACATTCCTGAGGCTCCTGTCTTAGGTGTGGGGAAGGGCTGGGCTGGGGCGGGGGAGTGTGAGGCTAGAGAAGCAGCAACTGTGGTCTTCCACAGGAGCATCTCACTGTTGCCAGACCTTACCATCTGGGAGGGATATTTTTTAAAGACAAGGCTGTAAAGGTTACTGTTTGCCTACATGGAGGGACTGCAACTCAACATCCAGCACGACCCTGACCTCTTTCCATGCTGTGTACGCGCTGGAATGTGAGTGACTGCTGATGAGAGAGTCCACTGTTGTTTCTGGCTCTGCCTCAAAGGGTGGTTGAAATGTTTGTTCTCTGATTACCTCAGCCATGCATCAGCTTGCTGTGGCTGGGGCCCATGGCTCAGTCCCAGCAGCTGCAGTCTTGCGTTACCATTTTTCTTCCTAACTGGCCAACGTCCTGTTACTCATCCCTCCCCAGTTGTGATCACCTTGTGCGTGTTACTTGAATATGCTGCTACTATCATCTGTGTTCTGTACATTCTTTCCATAGAGAGTTGTACTGTGCCTGTGGTATTCTAGCATCATATTTATAGCAACTCGTAGCTGGGGAGGAACAATATTATGATTCTATTTTAAATGATCTAGGAAGGGACCCAAGCCTGGGCTGTTAAGAAATCTAATATCCATAGTGTCTGCTAAATACTCTAACTGTACATCTCTTTAGATCCTTTGGGTCCCTGCCTTTACTAATCTGGAATCACTTTTTTTTTTTTTTTTTTTTTTGAGATGGTGTCTTTTTCTGTCGCCAGGCTGGAGTGCAATGGCGCAATCTCGGCTCACTGCAACCTCCGCCTTCCTGGTTCAAGCAATTCTCCTGTCTCAGCCTCCCAAGTAGCTGGGACTACAGGCACACGCCACCATGCCCAGCTAATTTTTGTACTTTTAGTAGAGACGGGGTTTCACCATGTTGGCCAGGATGGTCTCGATCTTTTGACCTCATGATCTGCCCGTGTCAGCCTCCCAAAAGTGCTGGGATTACAGGCGTGAGCCACCACACCCGGCCAGGGCATCACATTTTCATGACACATGCTCAGAGGACCTAAATCATCCAATGTTTTCATTCACTCCTTTCATAAGGTCTTCATGTGGATCTGTGTTCAAACATTAACTGTCATCACTGCTTTTTTACTGCCTCCTAACAATATAGCTGACAAGTAAAGAAAAGATAGTTCTTACCATTGAGATATTTTTCTAGATACAGTGTTCTGGGCATATGAGGCCTGGAATTTCTGCAACCAACTTTGGTACCATAAAAGAAGTCAGCCTGAGGATGCCAGCACACATAGGTAGTGCTGAAAGAATCGTAAAGAAATGGAGCTGGAGTCTTGATCAAACCCTTCCTGAAGCTAATCTTGTAATTTTTCAGTTATATGAGCCAGCTATCTTTATTGTTTAAGCTAGTTTAAGGTAGGTTTTGTCCTTTCACCTAAAGAGACTTAACTGATAAGAGAATTCCCAATGTATTTAAGTGTAAACATCAAGCTTCTTATCACACCCTTATAAGCCCCTTGCCTCCTTTTCTGACCTTTTCTTTCACTTCCTAACTCTTCACCATGCTGTGATTACATAGTTCTTATTCCTTGAATAAGACTATTCTACCTTCCAGTTGCTGCTCCCTCCTTTCTAACGGCCTGCTCCATATCTTAAGACATTTAACTCCTGGGCATTCAAGTCTCAGCTCAAATCCCACCTCTTAGCCTGGACAACATAGTAAGACCCCATCTCTTCCCACCCCCAAAAATGTTAGCTGGATGTGGTGGTACACACTTGTAGTCCCAGCTACTTGGGAAGCTGATGCAGGAGGATCACTTGAGCCCAGGAAGTTGAGGCTGCAGTGAGGTGTGATTGTGCCACTGCACTCCAGCCTGGGTGACAGAGTGAAACCCTGTCTCTAAAAAACAAAAAAATCCCATCTCCTCAGGGAGGACTTTCTGATGATCTAATTTAAGTTACGTTCCCCACTGCCCACCCCACATTCCTTCTTGACCAAAATACCTTGTGTTTGTTAGAGTTCTTATCCCTATTTGAAGTTCTTTATTTTTGTGTTGGCTTGTTGATTCTGTTACCTTGACTATAATATAAGGCCCACAGGGCAGGGGCATTGCCTGTGTCGTTCATTTCTCTTTCCCAAGTGTCCGGCATGGAGAAGTACTCAACAAATATTTGCTGAAATAGCAATGGCCTTTTGGATACACACACTGTGTATGAGGGTCCAGCTGGGGGAGGCCCTCTGGGTAGGGTTTAAGAGCAACTGTCCATTCCAGTGCATTCTCCTCGGGGTTTAGTTGTCTTCTTCCCATGTCATGCAGTTGTTTCATCTATGCTGCCTAGTTCTATTTTTTTGTCTCTGCTCTCTCAAGAATCTGTTTCTTCTTTAGGAGGAAATAAGAAAGGGCACTTAGTGTTTAGTTGTGAACGCAGACTCTTGAAGGTGAGAAAAAAGAAGATTTGACTTCAAGAATACAAGAGGAATGAGCAAATGACAGTAAGGAGCCGGAGGCAGCCAGGCTGACCTGTGTCATGAGCTGTCCTACTCACTATGGTGTATTCAATCAGGCATAAAGCTGTGATTCTCCTAGGGCTCAGAGGAGGCAGCCATGCTCTTGTCTTAGCAGAGGTCAAAGTACAAGAACTGATCAGAGCAGAGGGTTTTTCTATTTATTACAAAAGTTGTTACACAAATACAGCTGACCAGAAGGTCTAAAAACAGCCCAGACTCTTCCAACCCTCATGCATCTGTAGATAGAAGGAGAGCTGTGGTCTTGCTCACACACAGGGGAGCCCTTCTTAGAAGAACTGCCTGTCCCTTGGAAGGTTCAGAGTCTTGGGTCCAGCAGCAGAGAGGAGCCCAACCTGCGTGGACAACCCCTTGAGGCAGCCCTTGGTCACAGCTGCTCTGGGTGGGCAGCAGGTTTAAGTTTCATAGTTCACATGTTCCCACCACACAAGTCAAATCAAGGCATGAAAATAAAAGGGAAAAAGGGGAAGGCTGGAAAAGGGAGCCTGGAAGAGGTTGCAGGTAGGGGAAGGAGACACAGTGGGCTTCCGAGAAGCTGGCAATTTCTTGACTTGGATGGAGTTACGTAGTATTCACTTTAAAATTATTCTTTAAATTGTACGTACATGTTATATACTTTTCAGTATGCATATCTTTAAATTTTAAAAATTAAAAAAAGAGGCTAAAAGTGAATAAAAGGGCAGATGATGGAATAGAAAAGAAATTAAAGAGGAGAGACGACGAAGGAAGAAGATGGCCAAGGTGGAAAACGAGAAAGTCCTGGAGGTGATAATGCTGGCCTCAGTTTCTCTTCTTCTGTCTGGATACTGGTTCTACTTCTAGATACCGGAGCCCGACCAGCATACCCAGGATGGAGAAACCTTAAATACAGAGGAAAGACTAGTGACTAACATACATACGGTACCTTTCTTCTCTCTCTCTCCTGTGTCCACCCTCTGTACTAGCTCTAGAGCTGGCACAGCTCCTGTAGGAGGTCTAGGGTGGTTGGATGCTTACTTGCCACCATCAGGGGTGCCAGGACGCCAATCGTGGGAGCTGCAGTTCCATAGACAAACAACTCAGAGAGGAAATGCCCCAGGGCAAGGAGGAAGGTCCAGAGTGTGATGTGATAGAGCCTATAAGGAAGCAGACAGAAATGGGAACCAAAGTTACTGTTTGTTCAGAACAGAGGAAAAGTATCAGACTTCATACAGACAAATAAGAACCCAGGATGTCATTAAGACTTAAAAGAAAGGACACTTGTTCCTGAGGAAGAGCTGGTTATTTGATCACAACGATATTCTCATCTAGGGCAAAACTGAAGGTTTCAACTGCTAAACTGAGAGGAGAATGGTTCAGGCATCCAGAATGAACGTCCAGGTCTCAGCAAAGTGGTGAACTCAGCTATAGCAAAGCAGAGCCTGAATGATGACAATCGCAGGCAGTGTAGACAACTTTGGATCCAGCACGCTTACATATTCTATTTATCCAAATTGGTTGACTCTGCAGTCTAATCCCACCTGGCAGGCATCTGGCCATGCACTTGTCGGTGTTTATAAGATGGATGCCACAGAACGAACGGCCTCATGGGGAGTAAGGAGCAAGGACACCTCTGGGGCTTTTAGATGCTCTTGCAATATACGTTGGTTACTTTGTGCCTTAGCCTAGAAAAGTAGTCACATTGAGGACATGGTGACAACCTCATGGGAAAAGAACTTATCTTTCAGCTTTGACTATAAGGTAGAGAAGAGACAGGCTACTAGGTGACTGACCACTTTGTTTGCTGATATCTTTTTAGTATAAAATTTTTTAAAATTATGAAATACTTCAAACATACAAAAAAATTACTGAACACTATAATGAACACCAATGCAACCAACACCCAGCTCCCTCAGATCTTAACATCTTGACATTTTGTTTCAGACTCTTCTAATAAAAACTTACAGAGAAGAGTTAAATCATCCTGTGTATACTTATCCTGCTCTAAGTCTGTTCTCCCTCATCCCCACAAGTAACTGGTATCTTACATTTGATTTGTATCTCTCCTGTGCATATTTTTACACCTTTTTTTTTTTTTTTTTTTTTTTTGAGACAGACTCTTGCTCTGTCTCTCAGGCTGGAGTGCAGTGGCACAATCTTGGCTCACTGCAACCTCCGCCTCTTGGGTCAAGTGATTCTCCTGCCTCAGCCTCCTGGAGTAGCTGGGACTACAGGTGCACACCACCACGCCCAGCTAATTTTTGTATTTTTAGTAGAGATGGGGTTTCGCCATGTTGGCCAAGCTGGTCTCAAACTCCTGATCTCAAGTGATCTGCCCACCTTGGCCTCCCAAAGTGCTGGGATTACAGGCAGAAGCCACCCGCGCCTGGCCCATTGTGGAAACAATATGTATGTGTGTTGACTTTCAGTCTCTAGTTAGGGAGGGAATAGGATCAGAATGCACATCAGAAGTGCATCGATCAAAGTCCTAGGCTAGAAAGGTCTAGAAACAGGAGTCAGCGTTTGCAGCTGTCCTGTGTGGGGAGAGGTGAAAGTAAATGGTAACTGAGGTAAAGATAAGTCTGGGTCAGGCCGGGCACAGTGGCTGAAGCCTGTAATCCCAGCACCTTGGAGGCCAAGGTGGGTGGATCACGAGGTCAGGAGTTCGAGACCAGCCTGGCCAACATGGTGAGAACCTGTCTCTACTAAAAATACAAAAATTAGAGGGGCATGGTGGTGCGCGCCTGTAATCCCAGCTACTGGGGAGGCTGAGGCAGGAGAATGGCTTAAACCCAGGAGGCGGAGGTGGAGGTTGCAGGGAGCTGAGATTGTGCCACTGTACTCCAGCTTGGGTGACAGAGCAAGACTGTCTCAGAAAAAAAAAAAAAAAGAGATAAGTCTGGGTTGTCTTCGCTCACTTCAAAAGCACAACAATCAAAAGATATATCCCTCATACTCATCAGCAATTCTTCATTGTGGTACAGGTCTTTAAAATGATTGTTCAATCCTCCCTTCCTCTTAGTCACCCTGAGAGGTAGAACAGATATCTATTCTCATTTTATGGATGAAGAGGCCAAGGTGCAAGGAAGGTGAATAATGGACTTGCTACTGCAAAGCTAGTTACCAACAGAACTGGGCCCAGAACTAAACACACTGCTTCCAAAAGTATGTGTCATTCTAGGACAAGTAAACTGCAGGTTCAAGTTTGAAAAAAAATTAAAAAAAAAAATAAGGTTGAAGAGATCAAACGGCTAATAGCCCTGCTTCAAATCTCACTTGAGTCAGTCTTTCTTTAAACTAACTGTATCTCTAATATTTAGATGTGCAAAATCAGGAATGAAAATCATGACCTCCAGGGCTGCTAAGAAAAGACTTAATCAAGATCACGTAGATAAAAGCTCAGCATAATAAGAGGGGCTCAATAAATATTATCGCCTCCTGTTTTCCCCAGATGCCAAGAGCCTGGATAAGACAGAAAAACATTTTAATGTGAAGTTGGCATTCAGATAGCCTCCCTCGGTGACCTGAACAAACTGTTTCCACCTAGAGTGTGATGATGACTCCCGCTGGGAAGAAAGCTCGAGCCCCCTCTAGTGGCCAGCACTGGTTATGGCTTCTGATTGCCTGCAATTGTTCCACCCTGGTCTGTTTGAGTACCCAAGACAGGTAGATTCAGGAGCCCTAGCTTCTCTTTCACCCTCACCTGCTGATGCTGCATACACATACAACAGTTTACTTGTGGGTTCCTCTTTTTTCATGGATTGTGATTTCTGTTCATTCCTGCTTCTTAAGGAGGAATGTGAGAAAGGTATGTGTGGGTGGCTACTCTAAAAAGAGCATACCACTCTACTTCTTTAGTAGAAGAAGGGCTGATTCTTTCATAAAGAAGTGGAGGGGCATGATGCAGGCCACTGGATAATGGCCTGCCAGTTTGCTATGTCAGTTCCAAAGAATTTTCAGACTTTAATGAAGACCTGTTAGGTCTACTATGTTTTCTAGGCTTGGAGGGAATGTAACCTGTGAGTTTTTTATTATTCACATTCTAAGCTAATGCATTAAAATGATTAACAGTTCCCATTACTCAAGGTAACAGGTATGCCTCGCATCTGATTTCCAACAAAAGGATGCTAAAGCTCTTCCTTCCCTTACATACGTCTTGTTGTGAATGTCAATGGCACAGAGGCAGCGAATCACTGATGAGAGCAGCGTCCAGATCCCAAAGGTCCGAGCTTGGAGGCCATTCACTGTGTAGCAGAAAAAAGCAAGAGTGTTCAGAAGGGGAGACTTGAGGTTCCTTCCAAACTCCTCCTATTTCACTGGTGGTTCATGGGAGATAGGGAGCTGGACCTGACCTCTCTGTGGCTGGGCAGGATGGAGGTCCTAGTGGCAACATGGGAACTAGAAGGAATAGAAGGAATTCCAGAATGAGAACTTCTCAGATTCTCTTCAAATGTCTACAGTTGGAAGGGAAGTTCCAAGAGTGGAAACCCACAAAGAGCCCAGTTAGGCAAATAACTCCTAGATATAGTAATTTACCCCTTTTGTCCTGGAAGCCTAGAGGGTCTGGATCAGGACAGGTTTTGGGGAACGTTGTAGAGACTGATCTGGAAATGCAAGATGCCCAGGAGGCCAGCAGACTTTCAAGGCTGATCCAGGAGAGAACTCAGAGATACTGGGGACCAATTTAGATGCCCATATATGGTCTTTAAGATATGTGAGTGCCTGGGTCTCTTCCTGCATCCAGATCTATGCTGTTGGATGAACCAATACCAGGTTGGTTTCCTGTGTGCATGGCAGTGGGACAAAGCACTGTTTCTTTGGTGTTTGCTGGGGGCATCCTGCTGTTGGTAGCTTTGTTCTGACATTGCTGTATTAAATATCTTGTCCTGAAAGTATAGGTCATATTCCACCATAACAGTGGTTCTTGACTTTGGGCATTTATTACAATCAACTGAGGTAGTTTTATAAAATTACAAGGCCTGGGTACCAGACCAACTATATCGTATTCTCTGGAGGAGGGCCCCAGGCATAAGTATTTTCTAGAAACTCCCTGTTTGGGTAATTTAAATGCAAAACCATTGAGCTAAGGCATCCAGTGGCTCGGGGATGCCAAAACAGTGAAAGCAAAGATACTTCCTTTGCTGGTCTACTACCTGCTGAGTAAGATAAATTTTAAGGGACAAAATTGACAACTGAAAAGTCTACTAATGTTTACTTGGGCTTTAAGGATTTTTCCAGCCTTTGGAAAATCAGACAGCTCTCCCAAATTCACAATACTGAAGACCATTAGATGGTAGTGAGAAAAAATTCCATATGCCAACCAAATATCTAGCATTAGCCCTGGATAGCTATATTCTTTATAAACCAATTTGATAATGAGAAGACTAAGGACGTTTCTCTAGTTAAGAGTACTCAACCAGCCCTAACCAGATTAGGTATGAGGTGAAATTCTGTGGGACACTTTAGAGCACTGCTACTTTCAGAAGAGTACCATGAAGGCCCCTAGATCACAAGGGAGATGGCAGCCTCAGCTTCCGTGCTGGCTGAACACACACACACACACACACACACACACACACACACACACACACATAAAGTTCTGCTCAGCTATATGCCTTTAAGTCACATGACCTCTGGACCTCTTTGCCTCAACTTTAAACTCAAAGGGCTAGACCAGATGACCTCTAAAAATGTGTGAATCTATATAGGGTTCCATGACCACCTGAGGGCAGCATTTGAAGGTGAAAAGATGGAATTATTCTGCTCACTTTCCCAGGTTCTTTACTCTTATTATATTTGAGCTTTCTTAAAATGAGCCTTAGCCTACTTAATTTCATTTTATACTCAGACACTGCAGAAAAACGAGCTAGGTCAGAGCCTGAATCTGGGTTAGCTATAAATGTGACACAGAATTGTCATCTGCTGTGAAACAGTGCTGCAGCTTAAACTACCCCACACATCAGCGTGATGAAGTGGAAGCTGAAATGGACACTCTCAGTAGAGAGGCTCAGGAAGCCAGGAAAGGCTGCCATGGGCCTTCTTAAGTTTCATTTTGGGAGACCAACTTGAAGGGATTTTAAATACCTTCTCAGGGACTATGTCACGGAAGACCTTGAATTAATAACTCTCCATCTGTAACATGGAATATGAGTCATGTAAGCCCCAGAATCATGTAAACCTGATTCTGAAGAGGGCTTTGAGATATATGTAAAGCTTCTTTATGGCTTTCTTGTCAGGCATCACAGAGTCACCAAGTAAGTCTATTTCCTCACTTGCCCTTATAATGCTTTTTTTTTTTTTTTTTTAAATACATGAATTGCCCAGGGCAGTGTAAAATCAATGAAAAGTATTCAGAGAAGCTTGGGGGAAAAAGGGTCAAGTGCTCACCACAAAGTCTATTACTCCAGTAGCTGCCAAAGGCTAGCTAAGGCAGCATCAGAATCATCTGGGAAGTGTTTTAGCAACTGGATTCCTGAGCTCCACCCAGGTTCAATAAATAGGTTTGGTGAGGGAAATGGGTACCTGTGTTTGTTGACGTTTCCTAGGTTACTCTGATGTACAGCCTGGTTTGGGAACCACAGCATAGGGCCAGTCCTATAAGTCCTATAAAGGATGCAGAAATTCTTTGATTTCTTACCAAGGTTTGGCTTGCCAGTGTAGAGCTTTTCATAGAGAAAAGTGTGGTCTCGGAAGCTCTGCAGCGTGTTCCCCATGGCTATGATGGACACCATAACCAGCCAACTTCTTAACACATTCAGGAAACGGCTCATGACTCCCCTCAAACGTGGGAGGGCTTTTTGCCTTGGAAACAAAGGCAGAGGACATGAGACAATGAGGGCCAGTCTATGTTAACCATAAGCAGGAAGGGAGGAAGAATGAAGCAGGCCAAAAAAAGAAATTCAGTCACACTAATAGTGGTGAATGAACAGTATACTTTGCAATAAGTGGCACAGTACTTATCCTTGTCTAAGCAATTTCTCCAAAATATTACCCTAAATCAGAACTCCTTTTTCTGGGTTGGAATCAGTCCTCTATCTTTACTTCTATACCTTCATGTTTTCATGCCATTCCTTCGTAATGCAAATAGCTCAAAGGCGATTATAACTATACTCACAGACACCTGCCTGGCTATTGATGACGGATTCTTCCAAGTGTATGGAACTTTATAAATTTGAGTAGGACTTATGGTGTGAGGTCACTATTTACATCCCTAGGTTTTCTGGACTCTGGTTCTCAGGTATACCATGCTCCATAAACTAGAAGAACAATCTAAAAGTTAAAAATAAACTGCTGTGTGTCAACTCCAAATAAAATCCTAAGCCCATCACGGACTGAACAGAGCCCCTCTTGGCCTAGGGGACCCCAGAAAAATCCTAAAACTGAGCTCCTGGCCATGACAAGATGGGAGGTCTGACATGCCCTGTTATATTCGTTGTGTTTTCAGGTTTAGAGACAGCAACTTACCAGCATTAAAGTTAAAATAGAGATCATAAGAATGACACAACAGATTCTTTGTGCAATAAGATACCAAATTATAAACAAGACCTAAGGCCATGCCAGGCAAGGGTTAAGTTACACACTCCTACATTTAAAGAATAAAAGTTATATTCTGCCACAAGGTTTTTTTTTTCTCCAGCAGCTAGATGAACACTGGCCTTGAGATAAGCAATATTAAAACAATTGCAGCTCATCCAGCTCACAGAGGCTGACTACCTGACCCCTGTTCCACCAGTTGTAACTACAGCTTTGATTGGACAAGAGACTGATTTCAGTAATTTTCTCCAGATAAGACCACCAACCGTGGACTGCTCCTGGCCAGTTTAGCAGGATCACACACTTGAGTGTCTTGGTGTCCTGAAAAGACTTTTTGACGTATAGAGCCTAGGTGTGATAGACTTAAATGTTAGGTCTCCACTCCAAAGTGAACAGGGTTCATATGTGGTTACATATGTTTGTTCAATATGCATGTGTCAGGACAACCTTCAGGAATATTCACAGCTCCTCCTGTAACCTGTCGAATGTGTATGTTTAGCAAACCTGTTCAGCATGAAGCTCTACCCCAAACCCTTCTCCTTCAAAGTAACTGTCTCTGGTCTTGGTGGGAGGCACTCTTCCCTGTTGGGTGGCTGTAACCCTTTGCAAGAGATAAAGCCTCTTTTCCTTTTTTCCAAATTTATAAATTGTGTGTGTTTAAGTTAACGTGTGAGTTTAGGACTAGTAAGAAAATTATATAGCGAAGGAAACAGCAATCTTGGTGTTGGGTTGCAAGAAAATAATAGGTTTCAGTCATTGAGCACTTACACCGTGAACTGTGCCAAGCACCTAACATATATTACCATTTAATCTTTACAATGAGGTAAGCAGGCACTATTAATATTTCCATCTTACAGATGAGGGTTGGAACAGAGAGGTTAAACAAGTTTCTTAAGGTCACACAGCAAAGTTGGCAGAGCTGAGATAAGAATCATGGTCTGCTGGACTGCTGCAGTGCTACCTCATTGTTTGAGACTATTTTAATGAAGTTCCCATTTTTTGAGAAAGAAAAGCATACCATATCCACTTTTGTCTTCAAGTTGTATGGAAAATACAATTAGATTACATACTTTTTGTTTTTTAATTTATTATTTATTTATTTATTTTTTTGAGACAGGGTCTTGCTCTGTCACACAGGCTGGAATGCAGTGGCATAGTCATGGCTCATTGCAGCCTTGAAATCAAAGGCTTAAGTGATCCTCCTACCTCAACCTCTCCACTTGGGCTCAACTGATCCACTCACCTTGGCCTCGCCTCCCAAATGCTGGGATTACAGGTGTGAGCTACAGCACCCAGCCTTTTTTTTTTTTTTTTTAAGGCTTAGTTCAACTCTTGTTGAGTAGTAATTTCAGTTAGTCTGATTTAAATAAAACCAAAATAGATAAATAATCTAATAATGGAATGACTTTTTCCCATCCTCATTATTATTTTCTTGGTCCACGGTTTATCTGTTGTCAGGTTAACCTCTTGGGCCTGAAGTGGTAATAAACTAACAGGCTTTCTTTGTCACTTTGGCAATACAAGTTTCGGTATTGTTCTCTGCTACCCAGTGGGACAGATATTAAAGTCAGCAATGGCCCAAGACAGTGTGAAACACCGCCGCCCCCCCCCGCCAACTCCCCGCCCCAAACAAGCAATAAAGAGATCTAGAGAAGGAAGGGTGAATTGATGAGCCCTTCAGGGAGAGCTGGATCACAAAGGTGGTCTCTGTCGAAGATCAGAGAGACTGAGGGTCTACTGGACATCACAGGCCATTATCATTTGGGCCAAGATCCACCCATCCTCTTTATTTTCTCACTCTCTCTCAAGAGGAGACTCCTCCGGGGTTTAGAAAAGCTGCATGGATGCACCTCTCCACTTTTCTGCACAAGTATGCCTTCCATTTCACAGAAGTGTTATCTGTTAGAAATCCCAACAGATAGCTGATGAGGACAGAGCCTGAGCACTTCTGAATTGCTCTGCCAATTTCTCAACCTAATTTCCCTAAAGCTTAAGGGCCTCTTAGAGTGTATACAACATCTATTTCCAAATTTTGTCCTGGCCCTGGCCCAGCCCAGCCAAGCCCAGCCCAGCATAGGTGTGCTGTTAAAACTTAATCAGGAGAAAGGGATTCTTATCCTGGCCCTACCACTTAGTAGCTGTGTGACCCTGGGTAAGTCATTTACACTTTTCAGTCTCGGTTTCCTCATCTGCAAAATGGAGATAGAAATATCAACCCGAAGGGCTATTGTAAGAATTATATGACAAAAAGTGAAGGCTCTTTGTACAGTGCTAGGCTCATAGTGGCTGCTCATTCGCTCATCCATTCCTTCGTTCCTTGAATTCACCAAGCCTTCTCCATCTTCCTAGCTCCCCCTTGTCATCGCCTCTCGAAACCTTTTCCCCCCAAAAGGTTGCCTTCCAGTTATCTTCCTTCCATCCCACCTCCATTTTTCCAGACTCTCCGGATCCTCTCAATCAGAAGCAACACAGACACCTACATCCCTCTTCTCCCCCATATTCTCCTTACCTGGCGACCGGGCCCCCAGCACAGCAGTGGCAGCAGCAGCCGCTGCCGCAAACAAGCTCCCCCAGGACAGCTCCAGCCCGGAGTCCACCTGAGCCATTTGTCCCCGCCCCCTCCCTCAGCCCTGCTCCAGGATTGGGCCGTTTCCGTCAGTACTCTCTCTGATTGGCTGTCCCGGTTTCGCCCGAGCAGGAGATGGGGAGTGAACCCCTTTACTGCCAATCAGCGGTTGCCGCTGCCTAAGCCTCTCCCCAGGTACGCCGCTCACGCCGTAAGCCCTCCTGTTGGACCTAGCGGAACTCCGGGTTTGGAGTCAACCTCTTAGGGGCGGAGAAAAAAACAGCGGAAAAAAAAAAAAAAAAGAAGACTCCCTTCAGCTGAGGGCAGGGCTCTGCGCCCGCGCTGCGCGGCGGTGACGACATTCGCCCGCGTCCGCAGCTGAGCGTTATGAGCGCCTGCGCAGTGGCTCCGAGCGGGCGGTTGCTTGTTGGTTGTTGTAGTAACCGGGGAAGCAGCCGTCGGCGGCTGCCCTGAGCCTTCCTGGGGAAGGAGGAGGGAGGTAGGCGCAGAGCGCGGTCCACGCCTGCTCGCCCCGAACCATGGGAAGATGAGACAGGTAAACGCCTGCGCCCGCGCGCTTCCCTACCCTAGGGAGGAGCATTCCCGGGTCCGGGCTGGCGCCTGCAGCAGGACTTCCCGCTCAGAGCCCGGGAGTAGCTGTTGGCTTCCGGGCGCGCCGCGTTGAATCGCGGCTGCGGGGTCGTCCCGTCCTTCCCGGGGGGAGCATCTGCGGACCTACGTGGGATTGGGGTGAGCTGGGGGTGGGGCTGAGAAGCAGATTCCTTTCGGGAGAGGAGTCTCCTTAGGTGAGTATCTCTACTCTTCTTCCGATAGACCTGTTTCTCCCCGCTCTGCAGGCAGCCTAGGAGAGGTTGGCATCCCTTCCCGTTTGGAGGTTTTGTTTGTTTAAACTTAAAGGGCTTCCCAGCATTTTGGGAAAGATCAAGAAATCCCGTTGAGAATCCCCTGAAGAAAGCCATTGAAGTTGTTAGACATTGCCTATTGCGCCGAAGATCTTTGATCATTATCGGGGTCTGTTTTTTTTTTGTCTTATTTACAGTCTCATCGTATTTATGAATGCATGGAAAAGTTAAGAAGGATTGACAGCAAGTAATTATCGCTGAGTAATTTGGGATTATGGTCATTTAAACATGTTTCTTTTATTTGTAGTTCCTATTTCTTCTTCTGACACACACAACGAACATGTACTTTTTTACTTTAGAAAAAATATTTTAAGTTAGAAATGCAGTGTTGGAAATTTCCTAATTTCATCGTCTATTTGAGAGTCGTACCAAACTTTGTGATTTTTAGGAAGAATAATTTTTAAGAGTGGAAGGGCATTCCTCCCCTCCCCCACCTATTTATATGGACCTTTGATTCAAGAGAATATATTCATCTTTCGGTTCATTGTTGAATTTATTTTACTGGAAACATGATGGCATCTTGTCAGCGTGCTTGTCATAGAGTCTAAATAAATGTTGGCAGGGGTTTTTTGTTGTTTTTTTTTTTTTGAGACGGAGTTCACTCTTGTTGCCCAGGCTGGAGTGCAATGGCGCGATCTTGGCTCACCGCAACCTCCGCCTCCCGGGTTCAAGCGATTCTCCTCCCTCAGCCTCCCGAGTAGCTGGGATTACAGGCATGAGCCAGCACACCCGGCTAATTTTTTGTATTTTTTTTTTTTTTTTTTAGTAAAGACGGGGTTTCTCCATGTTAGTCAGGCTGGTCTCGAACTCCCGACCTCAGGTGATCCGCCCGCCTTGGCCTCCCAAAGTACTGGGATTACAGGCGTGAGCCACCCTGCCCGGCCTGCAAGGGTCTTAAACCTTGAGTTTTTATTTATTTATTTTTAACCCAGGCCAGGTTTGTCTAGCAAGGAATATATGTTTTAGGGAATCAGTCACCTGCCTCAAACTGAGTGAAAGTGAGGAGTCTATCCTTTTGGTGCATATTCGATTTAGTAAATAATGAGAAACTCAAACTTAGTAACAGCTCTTCAAATATATAGAGCACAGACTGTATGTTTGAAAAAAATCTTGATTTTTGTGGCATATTGAGGCACATATTGAGGCACATTCCATATGTTATGGAAAGTAAACTTCTAGAGGTTGAGCACTGTTTAGGAATATAGTCATTTTCATTACTTAGATTATCAGCAATAACCAATAAATAGACAACTGCATTGTGTTTCAGGTCAATTGATCCAATCAAGTTGATTTCTTGCAGGAATCTGTGCCATCCAAATTGCTTGATCCAGTGAATCTGCTAGGAAAGGTCTCTGAGGCCCCCGTCTGCTGACTGCATGACAAACCCTAAAGGAAATGCCAATCGTGATGGCCCGGGACCTGGAGGAAACAGCATCATCCTCAGAGGATGAGGAGGTCATAAGTCAAGAGTAAGTAATAGCAAGCCTGCTTTCAACCTGTGCTTTGTACTCTTTCACTTATATACTCTTATATACTGTTTTACTATATACTCTTCTCTTTTACTTATGTACTCTTTTATCTAGTGTCATTCCTTGGGGATTATCTAACTCTGGTTTTAGCTTCTATCCATAATGTCATTTAAGGTCTTGTTACTCAGTCCCTATCAGCTATGAGAAATGAGATAAGGCTCTCTTTCTGGGCCCATAAGTGAACATCAGCTCTAGATGTTGTAAAATGCAAGTAGTAGCTCTTGGTGAACTCTTGCTCAGAACTCCCAACAGAAGATTTTGAAATGTTTAAGTATTGAAGAAAAGCATGTCCAAACTCTACAACATTAGTTACGTTTGCTAATTTTCTCAAAAGCCTTTACAATGATAAAATGGTGGTAATATAGAGAGGTCAGGTAACTTACCATAGTAACTCTGAGGCAGGATATTAGAGTTCTATAGCCTGTGTTGTGTCCATTGACCCACACTGCTTTCCTGAGTTCTTTTAGTTAAGAGTCCAATTTCATGATTACTGGATCATCACAATAAGAATGAATAATAGCTAGGTGTGTTGGCTTATGCCTGTAATCCCAGCACTTTGGGTAGCCGAGGTGAGCGGATCACCTGAGGTCAGGAGTTCAAGACCAGCCTGGCCAACATGGTGAAACCCCATCTCTACTAAAAAAACAGAAATTAGCTGGGCGTGATGGTGGGTATCTGTAATCTCAGCTACTCGGGAGGCTGAGACAGGAGAATGGCTTGAACCTGGGAGGTGGAGGTTGCAGTGAGCTGAGATCTCACCATTGCACTCCAGCCCGGGCAACAAGAGCAAACCTCCATCTCAAAAAAAAAAAAAAGAATGATAATGATAAATATAGCTACTACAGATGACGATAAAGGCTTTATCTCATCTATATCTTATATCTTTTTAAATCTGAAGGTGTTATTATTTTCACTTTTTTAAACTCAGTCTTATCAGGAAATTTCCTCAGTGACCCATAGAGAGTAAGTGATGCATTGAGATTTGGACTTAGCTTTTCTGGATTTTGATCACTTTGCTCTTTTGCCTCCTTTAATTATTGCTTGACACAGAGTAAAGAGAGAATCTGGTTTAAAGGTAAAATTCATTTTTAAGATTCTCCCTGAGTCCTTTTGGATATGTGTGTGCTATGTAACCTGAAAAATAGAGATAATATCTCCCAGGCTATTTTGTAGGGGTCTGGTTAGACTCAAATAGCATAATGTATGTGAAATTACTTTGTAAGTGCTATACAAATGTAAGGCATTATTTTTACTGGTTTTAATATTGAATTTATGGTGGGCTTCTTGTAAGATACAAGATTACTTGTAATTTGAAAAAAATTGTTGAAGCATTAAGAAAGCTTTGAGGAAACGTTTCTTATCACTGTTAGGTCATAGAAACTAATAGAGATTTGAAAGTATATTTGGGTCATTCTTGTTCAGGATAATTAAATGGATAATTCCCTCTGGTTACTTTCCCTTCTTCTGACTTTTTGCTTTCGGTGTGCTGCCTCTTACCCATTTCATAAAACTTTTAACTTCTGCTGCAAGTATCAGTCTTTCCCTTTTTAAAGGTTGTTCTTTTACTCCATTACTGTCTCTCTTATTAGTGGGTTTACAGATTGGGCCTGACAAATGTTAGATTGAACTATATGAAACTGCCATTTTGGTAGGTCAGAAACAGTCAAATACTGACGATTGCAGATAGTTTGACCTAATATTATAGTAGGTACTTAGTAAATTCTTGCTGACTGAATAACGAAATGAAGGAATAAATGAAGGCTTTATACTTTACATTACCTTAGATCAGAGTTGTTAACTTTTTTATGCCATGGATTCCTTACCAGAATAATGTTTTTAAGGCTTAAAATAAAATACATATTATTACAAAGAGTACTAATTACATTCAAATGCAGTTATTAAAACACATTTGTAACATAGTAATATGTGCTGTTTTACTAATACATTAAATAATAAGATCATTTCAAATCTGGGAAAGTTAAATTTTGTTTTCTAAAGACAACAACATGAAGACTGTTTTTGTTTAGTTTGTGTAAGATCAGTACACTGGGAGGGTGGCCTTTGATTAACAATCATAGGTCGGGGGTACTGGGAAGCAGCATAGATGTCTGGGTCACCAGTGTGAGGTGTCATCATTTAGTGACTGAATGATTATTAGGAGGAGAGTTGCCCAATTGTTGTCCAACCTCATCACACTAGCATTTAGATAGAAAGACCATGATCACATGTGATCTAGGGGTGAGTCTTAAACTACTATAACTTAGAAGTAGTGACAAATGTAATACCTGTAATTGGCCAGGTGCAGTGGCTCACGCCTGTAATCCCAGCACTTTGGGAGGCCGAGGTGGGCAGATCACTTGCAGTCAGGAGTTTGAGACCAGCCTGGCCAATATGGTGAAACCCTGTCTCTACTAAAATACAAAAATTAGCCGGGTGTGGTTGTGGGTAATCCCAGCTACTCGGGAGGCTGAGGCAGGTGAATCGCTTGAACCTGGAAGGCAGAGGTTGCAGTGAGCCGAGATTGTGCCACTGTGCTCCAGCCTGGGAGACAGAGTGAGACTCCGTCTCAAACAAAACAAAACAAAAAAACTGCTGTAATTTTAGATAACGTCAAAGGCACAGATAATGCTAATATTACTATGGTTCGTTGCCTATATTCATAATTAAGAAATACTGAATTTCTAGTAAAAGTTAGTGAAAATAAAGGTGTAATTTTCCCTCTGCTCCCATCCAAATTTATGGACCACTTCCTCCTTTTAGACTCCTACTGTTGATTTTTAACTGTTAATCTTGTTTCATCAGCTTATGTCTTGTCTATCAGACACTTATTTTTTACATTAGGAAGCTTAAATCAATCTTGTTCACACCTGAAGCAGCAGGCTTACATTTTAAAAGTTGATTTAGAAGTTTGAAGGCCATAAATCATCGGAAGATGTTGACTTGATCCAAAGATGTATATCCATGGACATCTGTTAGATCTGCTCAGATCCCTAGGCTGTGTTAAAGTATTAATTCCTTGCAATCGTGGACTTCAGGAATAGAAACTATCCAGGCAGTCTTGTTTTGCATGGTATTATTTCAAATAGAAAATGTAAAGAGGCTGTTTTTCTATATTTTGCTTGGGGATCCCAAATACAACTCTGTATGTAGATATAGAAGCTTTCGTAGAAGAACGTGATGTAAGATTTCTTTGGTCACTGAAAAAATGTCAACTTTAATTGCTATTGTAAAAGGCTGGCTTTATATCAGTTAAAAAGATTATTAACAATCAATTATAAAGTGGGTGCTATAGGAGTTCAGAGAAGGAAGTATCGTAATGGGCTGAAGGAGCTGGGGAAGGCTGCCTGAAGGTGGTGAGACTTTAGGTAGGCCTTGGAGAGTGGGCTTAGATAAACAGAAGTGGGGAAGGCATTTCTAATAGGGGTAGTGGTATGAAGACAGCCTAGAAGCAAGAATGCAAAAGCTGCTTACAGCTCCATCTTTGAGTTATGTAGGCTGGGTCCCAGGAGTGAATGATGTCTATTTCTCATGAAATTATTCCCGGAAAACCAAAATGTTTTTAGGCTTTCAATAAAGTGAATCATAAAACTGATCTGCTTCGGTAATTATTCAAATCCTTTGTTTTTCATGCCTATAAAAGTGGATTTTAATATGTACCAGTTTCTGATGTGAATGAGAATATAAAGTCCCAATTTTCAGTTTCCTAATCATTCTGAATTTTTTCCTTTTAGCATCACTTGGTGGGAATATGTTTTTCATGACAACTTCGCATATTCCTTAAGTGCTTTTTTTTTTTAGCTGACCTTACTGTTTACTCTCTCTTTTATCTTTCCATGGGTTGGAAATGAAAAGATTTCTCTGTTAGAGACTTGGCTTTCTACAGATAGTACAGTTAGGGCCTGGGCTCTTCTCAGCTGTGTATCTGTTGATTGTGCTCCCCTTGTCAGGCATTTTAAAATTGGAGCAGCAATCCATTGTTTATAAATGCTAAGGCATAGTGGTGCCAGCTGGTAGCTAGTGCTAGATTGACAGAGAACTTTGGATAGTTTCCAGAGTTCCTGTCTGAGACTTTGTAGTTTAGGCTGCCTGTTTTTTTCTGTACTTGCTGATTTAGAAATATAGTGGAAAAATTAAGGTTGGAAGAGATCATAGGAATCACCTGGCTTCATGCCCACATTTTACAGGTGTTAAAGATGAAGAAGCAAGCAAGCCACAAAAAAATCCTTCCTGCTAAAAAAGGTACCCTATCAGCACCGTTTCTCACAAGTGGGTACTGTCACCAAGTCAAAGAACAAGAACAATAAGCATCCACATGCCATTTCTAGAAAACGGGGAATAAACTAGGTATGCTGTTCTTTGCTTTCTTCACTAGAAAGCAGTTGGCAGCTTGTCCCAAGTCTAAAGACTGCCTCACTCCTAAGATTGGGAGCCTTACAGACTGTGCATTCAGAGTGTGGATCTTTTTATGTTTTTTTTTTTTTTTTTTTTTTTTTATTGAGACGGAGTCTTGCTCTGTTGCCAGGCTGGAGTGTAGTGGCACGATCTTGGTTCACTGCAACCTCCGCCTCCCAGGTTCAACTGATTCTTCTGCCTCAGCCTCCCGAGTAGCTGGGACTACAGGTGCGGGCCACCACACCCAGCTAATTTTTGTATTTTTAGTAGAGACGGGGTTTCACCATGTTGGCCAGGATGGTCTCGATCTCTTGACCTCGTGATCTGTCTGCCTCGGCCTCCCAAAGTGCTGGGATTACAGGCGTGAGCCACCGTGTCCGGCCCGAGTGTGGATCTTTTTAAAGTTGGATTGGGAGGGGCTGACTTGGCCCTGAGATTTGTGGTATGACCTTTGTTAAGGGATGTGGTTATGTGAGTTTTTAAGAGTCGAGTGAATCTTGGCCAAGTGGATTGTATTGCATTTAAGGAATTATCAGTTTAAGTTCCCAAATAATTGAATTCAAGGTATCCAATATATACAACTTTGCTGAAATGCGATTAGGGAGGCAAACAGTAGAAAGAATACAGATGTTAGGTTCAAATACCTCATCCCTTACTTAACCAGCTATATGACCTTAGGCAGGTTACTTAACCTTTCTGAGACAGTTTTCCTGCAGTTCATAGTATGGGCAGGGGGATTAAGTGAGATATGAGAGCTCTTAGTTTAAATCCTGGCACATAGTAGGGACTCAGTTCATTTAATTTTATTTCTCTTCCTACCTCCCTGCCCTAATGAGGGTGAAGGTTTTTCTGATCTGTGAGTAAATATTCATCAGCCTAAAATTAAGCTGAGATTTCCTGAGGATAGGGAAAGAGAATAAAGTCAGAGGTCTTTTTCTCCCCTGTGGTTTTATACTGGAGGAAAATATATATTGTTCCATTTAGCATGGGCTTCCTTTAAAATATGTGATTTTAATTGGGATACTTGTATTAATTTAGAGTTCCTAGTTCAGAGTCTTAGGATGCATCATCAAATTGGCTTGAAAATGGACTATAGCGTGTAAAAGGAGTATGTAAATTATTGTGAACTCATCAGTTAGGATTCTTTATGTGTGCAAAGGATTACAACATAATCCAAATGGTCCTAAGTAATAAAGAGAATACTTTCACTCATATTCAGGCATATCTTGATTCTGAAAATCCCACTTTATCTCTTCAGTCAACCTCCTGCTGACTTTCTCCTTCACCAACAGCTACAGGCTCTTCTTTCAAGGTCACAAAATGGTTGTTGCCCTTCCAGACTTCTCATTCTCATCCTATACCATCAAGAGGAAGACAGGCTATCATCTGTAGCCATTATAGAAGAGAAAGAAACCATTGCTTTCTCACAGAGTCCAGAACATGTCTCCTTAAACTTATGGGCTCCAATTGGTTTATGTGCCTATCTCTGAACCACTAATTATACTGGATGATGAAGTATCTTGATTGGCTGAAACCAATCAAGGCCCATCCCTGAACCAGGGATAGAGTTAATTTTAAACACACAGCTAAGAATGGGAGATGTGATTTCCCACAGGATATTTGGGATTTGTATTCCAGAAGGAAGGGGAAACTTGCTAAGCAACAAACCATAGTAATCTGCATCAGCAGTTAGTTCAGGTTTTGAGCTGTAAATTAATGAAGGCTTTTTTGTCGTTATAGGGATCATCCATGCATCATGTGGACTGGAGGCTGCAGGAGAATTCCAGTTTTGGTATTCCATGCCGACGCTATTCTTACAAAGGACAACAATATTAGAGTAATTGGAGGTGCGTATAACCTCTCCCACAGAGGACGGAGCTGGGCATGGCCCAGACGTCCTTGTCTTAAAGAAGTTGATATGACATATATATAGGGAAAGGGCCTTGGCCATGAGAAAAATCAATTGAGTTGTTATACTTCAAACATTATAATTTCTTAAATTGTTTTCTGCTTATGTTTTTCCTCTGATTTTTTTTCAAGAATATTGTGTACATGTGTTTTTTTTTTAATTGTGGTAAAATACACCTAACAAAATTTACCATTTTAACCATTTTAGAGTGTACAAGTCGTTGTTGTTTAGTACATTCACAATGTTGTGCAGCCGTCACCACTGTTTAGTTCCAGAACATTTTCATCATCTCCAAAGTACAGCCAATACCCATTAAGCAGATATCCCCAGCCCCCATACCACCAGTCCCTGGCAACCACTCATCTATTTTCTGTTTTTATAGATTCCCATATTCTGGATGTTTTATATAAATGGAGTCATGTGATATGTGACCTTTTTTGGCAGGCTTCTTTTCACTTAGCATAATGTTTTTGAGGTTCATCCATGTTGGAGTATATATCAGTCCTTTATTCCTTTTTATAGCTGAATAACATTCCATTGTATATGCTAATGAATGCATTCCAATGATACACCACATTTTGTTTATCCAGTCATCAGTTGATGTACATTTTTTTTGTTTCCACCTTTTTTTTTAATTTTGTTTTTAAAATTTATTTATTTTTTAGATACAGGATCTCACTGTGTTGCCTATGTTGGTCTCAAACTCCTGGCCTTAAGCAATCCTGCCTTGGTTACATGCATAATCCACTGTGTCTGGCCTTTTTCCACCTTTTGTCTGTTGTGAATTGTGCTGCTATGAATGTTCACGGAAAAGTCGTTTGGACACTTAATCTTCAGTTCTTTGGGGTATACCTAGGAATGGAATTGCTAGGCCATATGGTAATTCTGTGTTTAACTTATTCCGTGTCAAACTGTTTTCCATAGCAGCTGTACCGTTTTACATTCCCGTCAACAACGTATAGGGGTTCCAGTTTCTCCACATCCTCACTAACATTTGATATTTTCTGTTTCTTAGATCATAGCCATACCAGTGAATGTGATGTGGTATCTGGCTGTGGTTTTGATTTGCATTTCCCTAATGAGTAATTTGAATATCTTTTTATGTACTTTTTGGCCATTTGTGTATTTTCTTTGGAGAAAGGCCTATTCAAGTCCTTTGTACATTTTAAAAATTGGGTTTTCTTTATTGTTGTTGAATTATAAGAGTTTTATATGTTATGGATATTAGACAAGATATATGATTTACAAATATTCTTACTCTGTGAATTGTCTTTCATTTTCTTGTTAGTGTTCTTTCATGAGCAAAAGTTTTTTGTTTTGATGACATCCAGTTTATCTAATTTTTCTTTTGTTGCTTATATTCTTTGTGTCATATCTAAGAAACCATTGCCTAACCCAAGGTCATGATCCCTGTGCTTTTTTCTAAGAGTTTTATGGTTTAAGCTCTTATATTTAGGGCTCAATAGTCTTTGATCCATTTTGAGTTAAATTTTTCATGTAGGGTTATGTAAGGGTTCACCTTCATTCTTTTGCATTTGGATATCCAGTTGTCTCAGCAAAATTAGTTGAAGAGACTATTCTTTTCCCCACTGGATGGTCTTGGCACTATTGTTGAAAATCAGTAGACCATAGGTGTATGGGTTTACTTATGGACTTTTAATATTTCATTGAACTATACATTTATCCTTATGGTAGTAACATACTCTTGATTACCGTACCTTTGTATTAAGTTTTGAAATTGCGGATTGTAAGTCCTCTAATATAGTTCTTTTTCAAGATCTCTGGCCATTCAGGGTCCCTTGCAATTCCATATGAATGTTAGGATCAGCTTTTCCCCTTTCTTCAAAAATGGCTGTTGGGATGTTGATAGGGAGTGCATTGAATCTATAAATCACTTCTTAGAGTGTTGCCATCTTAATGATGTTTTCTATGAACATGGAATGTCTTTCCAATTTTTTGGGCTTCTTTAATTTCTTTCATCATGGTTTTATAGTTTTCTGTGTACAAGTCTTGTACCCCCTTGGTTAAATTTATTCCTAAATATTTTATTCTTTTTGATGTTATTGTAAATAGAATTGTTTTCTCAATTTCATTTTTGGGTTATTCACTGCTAGTGTATAGAAATACACCTGAGTTCTGTATATTGATCTTGTATCCTGAAACCTTGCTGCACTCATTTATTAGCTCTAATAGTTTTTGTGTTTAGGTTTGTCTGCATGTAATATGTTATCTGCAAATAGAGAGAATTTTAGTTCTTTCTCTCCAACGTGGATGCCTTTTATTTCTTTTTCTTCCCTAATTGTTCTGGCTAGAATTTCTAGTACAATGCTGAATAGAAAGAGGGTGTCTTTGTCTTGTTTTTGATCATAGGAAGAAAGCTTTCTGTTTTCTGTCATTGCGTATGATACTAGCTGTGGGTTTTCATAAATGTCCTTTGTCATGTTGAGAAAGTTTGCTTCTATTCCTAGTTTGTTGTGTGTTTTTATCATGAAAAGGTGTTAGTCAAATGCTTTTTCCACATCAACTGAAATGATATTTCC
The DNA here is from genome assembly GCF_000001405.40 of Homo sapiens. Classification (NCBI taxonomy): domain Eukaryota; kingdom Metazoa; phylum Chordata; class Mammalia; order Primates; family Hominidae; genus Homo; species Homo sapiens. Next base: position 75,672,125 of record NC_000014.9, read on the forward strand.
CCCTTCAGCCTGTTAACGTGGTACATTACATTGACTGACTTTTTGTGTCTTGAACCTCCCTTATATTCCTGAGATAAATCCCACTTTGTCAGAGTGTAATTGCTAGTATTTTATTTTATTTTGTTTTATTTTATTTTTTTGCGACGGAGTCTCGCTCTGTCACCCAGGCTGGAGTGCAGTGGCACAATCTCAGCT